>NC_000007.14:48422060-48725090 GCF_000001405.40 Homo sapiens
AAAAAAAAAAAAAAAAAAAAAAAAGAAAAAAGGAAAGAAGGAAGAAAGAGGGAGGAAGGAAGAGAAGGAAGCAGGTACTTTTTTGAGAGACCCTGTTCCCTTTTTCTTTCATGTGACATCCTGTTTGTTGTTGTTTTTTTCTTTTTTTTCTTTTTTCCTAAAGAACAATACATTCAGTATTTTGAGGATTCTTCATTTGGGGGCTAAGGTCTTCTTAACTTAGAACAGTCTCATGGTCTAAGCATTTATGCAGACAGCCTGCTGTCTTGTTAACACTGACTGTGCTATCAGCCCTTTGACTGGAGTGCTGTGACCCATTCTTTGCATTCTGTTTATAACAAGGTGTTATAGGATGTCACAGAGCCTGAGTGTGAACTAGAATTGACTTTTTATAACTTATGTCTTTTAATCTTCCCCTTGTACGAATAAGCAAACTGAGAGACCAAGAGACCAAAAAGGTAATGAGCTGACCAAAATCAGACATTGAATTTTTTTTCATTTTGTGTTGGACTCCAAAATTTTCTACTCTACTTACCAACGTCTCCTGTTCTGTAGTCTCCAGGGACACCTCAAATCAACAGCCCTTGTTTCAAAGGTGTGTTGATGGTGTGATAGTTCTAGGACAGGCTGGATAATGGTCCCCCAGCGACGTCCACGTCCTTATCACTGAAGCCTGTAAGTGTTACCCATATGGGACTGTGGCAGGAGATATCCCAAATTATCTGGGTGGACTTGATGTAATCAAAAGGATACATCAAAGGGGGATCGAGGAAGGTCAGAGAGGAAGAAGGTGATGTTATGATGAGGCAGCAGTTGGAGAGATGAGCTTTAAAGATGGAGGCTGGGGCCATTGGCCAAACAATATTGGCAGCCACTAGAAGTTGGGAAAGTCCAGGGAGTATATTATCCCTTGATTTTAGCCCAGGAAGGCCCATATTAGGCTTCTGACCCCCAGAACTGTAAGATACTAAATACATTGTCTTAAGCCACCACATTTGTGGTAATTTGTTACAGCAGTGATAGGAAATTCATACAAGCTCCTGTAAAATAACAAATCTTGCTGCATGCATTGTGTTAGCATGTCAGGGGACAGCCCTGCCCAAGATCCCATATTTAGAGAGCAGTTGCTAGTACCTCTAGTGTTTCGTATCATCTAAGTTGTCCATGTGTTTTCATCTTCTGCTTCCTTAAAAAACAATCACTTTGGGGAAACAGAAAGAGTACATCTTATGTGACATGTAGGTCAAGTTTGGAAATTCTTCCTCTGCTCAAGTCATCACTCAGCTGGGTTCCATTGTCCTTGTCTTACAAAAATTTGGTCAGCTTCAAAAATTTCTCTAGCATCTAAGCAAAAAAGTACCTTGCACTGACCATCTCCAGGACACAATCCATCAAACTGACACTTTAAGTGTAGATCATATCTGGGGTCTCATGCTGCTTGACAACACCCTTTAAACAGAGAACCCAAAAGGATGGGGCATAGGACTCATGGCTGAGGGACTGATAGCACAATCAGTGTAGAGATGACACTGGGCTGTCATAAATGCCTAGACCTCAAAGCTCTTTTAAATTAAGGAGATGTAGATCCCCAAATGAAGAATCCCAAAACTTTTGAATTTACTGTCCCTTGAAAAGAAAGAGTGGATACACCATAGGCATTGCTTTTAAAGCATATTTTTGTTACATTTTAAATTACTTTCATGCTAGTTAGTGTCCTTTAGACATAATTTCATCATGTCTTATTTTATTCTTATTTACTTTGTGTGATGAATTTACCTAAAAATTAATGACTAGTTTGACCAACTTGATTGTCCTTTGACTTGAGAAGCTTGTAATTTCAGTGAAATTCAAAACATTAGATAAGATTGAAAAGAATATTCTACTTCTTTTGTATGAAAGTGGGAAGGTGTAGGTCTTATTTGGTCCATTTGAATTGGCTTATGGCCTATATTCAGTTACAATGATAGAAAATACCACCAAAAGAGGAGGAAGACATATGTATAAATAATGTCATTCCATACTAAATGCACAAACGCAGCATTCTTCTTAAATTGGAAAGTGTAGCCAGGACATTAGATGTTTAGCCTGCATTCACTTCCTGTGCAGTTGCCTAACCTTTATTTCTATCTCTTTTGGAAGATTGTTTATATGTTTTGATCAGGACTTTTATACTCTTAATAAGAATATTTTTGCAGTATTTTGCATCTCCTCATAATTGTTGAAATGAAAGAGAGTTTACGTTTCTTTATTTGAATTACTTTAAAAAACTTGAAGAACACCTTTCGGTATAAATAGTGATTTAAATATTGCTGGAAAGTATGTATCAGATAAGAAGGAATACAGTGAGAACTCAGTTAACATTGTTGATGGGTTCTTGGAAACTAAGACTTTAAGCAAAACAACTTTTTTTCCCTCATCAACATTATAACAAAATGGCGTTGAATGAGATGACATTATTTGAGGACCTGCTGTATGTCCTTTTGCTGAAAGTTGCAGTTGTGAACAACAACTTACTGATGACGCTAAGTGAGGACTTACTGTAAAATGATGTAATGTGGAAATTCTATGTCCAGAATTCAGTGAAATGTTAGGAGCCTTCTTGTAAGTTTTCTTTCATTAAATCCCTGGGTAATGTTCTATTCTGGATGTTAGGGTTACCTGAAATACTTGCCAAGGGGAGTTTTACAGTTGCTGTCTGTGTGATTCAGTGTGAGAATTATAATGCAAAATAACAAAGGCAAAGTCTGCCATCAAGACTCCAAATCTTTGATTACAGTGATCAGTGTCATATTGCTTTTGAAAAGAGTAACCTTTATTTGCCCTCTCTGTTAATTGGGCTACTTTGACATTTTGTCAAAATCTCAGAGCCTCCCGGACAGCCTGCCTGCAGTTAAGGTGAGTTGCCACTTGATGGCACGCATAACATTCTGATGGTCTTAGGCTTGCCTTTCACTGTTCATAGGCAAAGTTCCAGAATTTTCAGACACATTGTACCCAGATACTTAGTGCCGTACCATAATTGATTGTATCTCCTGCTGATCTGTGAGATTATTGAGGGCAAAAACTCTGTCCTTATTCTGTTTCCTCCTCTAACACACACATGCCCACAAATGTGTGCATTCAAACATGTGCATATACATTCACACATGTTCATACACACTCACACACACACACCCTCCTCCCCGCCACATACAACTATGGCCTTTTATGAGAGGGGCTAGAAAAGGAAAATTTAAAAAGGACAGATGAATATTGTTATCAATAATGCCTTAGTTATCAAGGTATGCTTCATATAATCATAGTTAAATATGACCATTAAATGAAAATTCCATTTAGAATAAGATATAAAGGAAAATCTTTAGTCAATGAATAATTCTTGATTTTCACTATTTCTATTGTTTCCTATTTAATTCCCTATAAATGCACTAGGTGAAGACTTACTGCACTAAGCCTCAGTGCCCTCATCTTAAGCAAGGATAATAGTACTCATCTCATCAGATTGATCTGAGAATTACATGATGAAACATAGCACATACACCCTACTACACTTACTCATCCTTATCTAGCTACTGTTGAGACCAGACATTGCCAGCATGCTACATGCCAGGCATCGTTTTTATAACTTTATATATAAATGCATTTATTGCTTGCAACAATCCTATAATATGTCTTATTTATTTATTTATTTATTTATTTTTTCGAGATGGAGTCTCGCTGTCGCCCAGGTTGGAGTGCAGTGGCGCAATCTCGGCTCACTGCAGGCTCCGCCCCCTGGGGTTCACGCCATTCTCCTGCCTCAGCCTCCGGAGTAGCTGGGACTACAGGCGCCCGCCACCTCGCCCGGCTAATTTTTTGTATTTTTAGTAGAGACGAGGTTTCACTGTGTTAGCCAGGATGGTCTCGATCTCCTGACCTCGTGATCCGCCCGCCTCGGCCTCCCAAAGTGCTGGGATTACAGGCGTGAGCCACCGCGCCCGGCCTCTTATTTATTACCATTTATCATGTGAGGAAACTAAGTTAAAGAGTGGTAAAATAATGTGTTCAAGGTCACATGGCTGGCGCACACTCAGAAATGTTATTAATCATTCTTCTTCTTATTATTATTTGCAATAGTAGTGAGGTTTACAGCTTTTCCTTGGAGTCTTACTGAGAATCAGCAAAGTGTTATCTTTCACATGAAGGTAGCTGCATCTGACCTTTCACTAGTGCTACTCATGCAGATTTTGCTCAGTAGGATTCCATGCAAACTAATTAACCACGTGCGGAGATATTGCATGCCTCTCCTGAAGGCTTGCTTGCTCATGGCTTCTTCTTTCTGGTGCCTTCCCCCATCTTTCCCTGTGGTTAGGGGCTCCTCAGGAACATCTAGAGACAGTCAATCCCTTTTTGCTTGTTTAGAGGAATCAGAATGGTGAGGTTGTGTAGAGAAATCAGAAGTGAGGCAGGGTGCTCAGTGTGGGCTGAGATCTGTATATGCAGGTATAGGACTTCACTACCCAGGGCATTGGGTGGGAGGTACCAGCTGGATGGACAGTGACGCTGGCCCAGCAGGAGTCACTTGGAGAGGGGCCAGGGCCAGGGACCAATATCTCTATGGATACGTGCAGAGGAAGGGGTGATGGAAGCACCTGCACAGATGATGCTAAGGGAGAGAGTGGCAATGCACAGTGCCTAGCTTTGTGCATGGCCCACAGAGAACGTTCAGGAAACCTTGGCTAACCACATGAATAATAGAAGACTTACTGCATGCTTCCAGAGTCTGTGCCTGGCACTTTACAGCCATCATCTACTGAACTTTAAATACTGTGATCATCATCTCTGTTTTATTAATACAACGAGGCAGCCAACACTCTGCGTGGTGCAGTCCTATGCCTGCAGACAGAGCCGGCCCACATCTTGCCAAGAGTGGAACTCCAGCAGTTAGGACTGTGCTGCTGCAGGGCGATGTCTCCTTGACTTGTATGCTTCTCGTGAATTGCCCAATGTTTATTTTAGAGATTCTCTTTCCATCACTCCATAAATCCCTGCCAGCGATCCAGGTGCAGCTCAAGGCCCTCGATGTCTCCACCCCACCTCATTTCCCTTTGTGTCTGCTTGCACTTCTGCTTTCTCACCTTATTTTTGCTACTTTAGTCATAGTATTTGGCTTTGAATAAACTGAGGTTGGACTTCTGCCTCCACTACTAACCAAGAAATGACTTCAAGCAAGTTATTTGATTAACTACCTTAGTGACATCATATATCATAGCCCATGGAAAGCATACATTTAATGGGGATTTTTATGTATGAGATCCCATCTACTGTAAGTAAACTGAGCATTGCAATTTTATTGTCTGATTCACCTCTGAATTCCTAAGATGCTGGTACAGTGAGTCACAAACTTAAGTTGAATTGGATACACTGTGTTGCTATCTGTCCCCTCCCTGCCTACCACTGCCTATGCATTTGACCAGCCTCCACTAGCCCGTGAGGGTCTGGGAGTTCACAGTCAAGTTTCATTCATCTTTGCATCCTATGGGTAGCCTGTTTTGCTGAGACCTAGGTAGTCTTAGAGTTATGCCAATTAAATGGATGGCTAAATGAAATATATGGGGTGTGTTTGGCATATGTTGTCACAACCGGATTAGGCAATTGAGGCAGAAGAAAAGAAATGCGATGTGTATAGAAACATAAAATAATACATGGCGTTTTTTTTTCTCCGAAAGGTGTTTTTGATGCTTTTGCAAGATTCCAACAAGAAATCTCACATTGCCCTGGGGACTGAGTCAGAGCTGCAGAACCACAGGCCTACAGGACATCTGTCTGGCTACTGTAAGTACAGAATGGCTTCCTGCATTTCTGCTGGAGGAACAATGACACCAGCCTTATTCAACATCCCTTGTTTTAAAAGTTGTATAGCAAGGTTCTGAAGTTAGTGAGGAGATGTGAGTGTATAGTGAGGGGGCAAGTAAATACAGGTCAGAGGCAAAAAAAACGTTGAGTTTTATCCTGGCTTGAAAAAAAAAAACTGTGTGTTTATGGGACACATTTATCTTTTCTTCAGGACTTGACTTAGTATATAAAAAATTTCTCAATGTATACAGTTAGAATAATGACCATCATTCATCTTATTTTACCTTCATCACAAACAAACTGATCTGGCCTACCTGCGTGGTGTGCCTCTTATGTGCAGGCACCCTCCTGGTAATGGATTTGCATGGTTTAACAAAGCCCCGGATGTGGGCTTTGCCTTCATGCGACCTCTGTCCCTTTGGGACCAAATCATGGCTTCAGCTTTTGTATGCAGCCTCCTTTATAGGCTTTAATGATTGAACAGAATCCAGATTTGGTATCTAGGTGTGTGACTGAAGCTCCAGTTCAGTCCAATTCCTGGCATATTTATTAGCAGCAACTCAGCAAGGATCCCTGAGCTGAGCTCTAGGGATGTGGAGGGTAATAAATCTAAGAGCTTTCCTTCAGAGATTTCAGTCTACTAGGCACATGAACCCATGAATAAGTAACTAGAATTAAATATGTTATAACCTTTTATGATGTTTCCCAAATTGCATCCTTACCAGCAACTGTAGGAATTGCTATTGCTGTACTTCCTCTTCAGCTCTTAGTAGTATCAGATTTGAAAAACATATAATTTAGCTATTAAAATAGATGTGTAGTAGTTTCTCATTGTGGTTTTAATTTGCATTCTCCTAATGATTATGTTAGGCATATATTTTTATTTCCCACAGCTTTATTGAGATATAATTCACATAACACACAATTCACTCATATAAATGGGACCATTCAGTGGCTTTTAGCTTCTTCAGAGTTCTGCATTCATCACCACAATCAACCTTATACCATTTTCATTACTCTGAAAACTGGTGTCACTTAGCAATCACTCCTCAAAATCCCCATCTCTTCAGCCATAGGCAACCCCTAATGTACTTTCAATCTCTAATAGATGTGCCTATTTTGGACATTTTATATACATGGAATCATAGTATGTGTGGCCCTCTGTGACTAGCTTCTTTCACTCAGCACAATGTTTTTGAGGTTCATCCATGTTACAGCGTGCCAGTACTCAACTTATTTTGATTACCAAATATTTCATTGTATAAATATACCACATTTTTGTTTGTCCATTCACCAGTTGATGGGCATTTGGGGTTGTTTCCAGTTTTTTACTATTGCAAATATACTATTATGAACATTTATATACACAATTTTTGTGGATATGTTTTCTCTTACATGTATACCTAGGAGTGAAATTGCTGAATCATATGTTTCAATCATTTGAGAAACTGCTAGACTGTCATCTAAAGTGATCACACCTTACATTCCCACCAGTAGTATATGAAGTTTCTAATTTCTCCACATTCTCCCAACCCTTGTTATTATCTGCTGTTTTGATTACAGACACTTTAGTGGATGTGACACACACCTTAGTGTGTATCTCATTGTGGGTTTTATTTACATTTCACTGGTGGCTAATGATGTTGAATATCTTTTCATAGGCTTCATGGCCACTTGTATATTTTCTTTGGAGAAGTCATATTCAGATTTTTTGTCCATTATTAAAATTGGGCAGATTTTATTTCTAGAGCTGGAAGAATTTCTAATTATGGAATTGTGTGAGTTAAGTGGAATGGTAACTAGGTTTTCATAAATGCCGTTTATGAAGTTGAAGAAGTTTCTATCTGTTCTTAATTGTGGAGTGTTTTTAATCATGAAAGGTGTTGGATGTTGCCAAATGCTTTCTCTGCATCTATTGAGATGATCATTTGTTTTTTGTTTATTTATTTATTTATATGGTATATTTTTGGTTTTTGGTAGTTAAAACAACATTGCATTCCTGGGACAAATTCTACCCGGTCATGTCATATATTGCTGGATTTTATTGTGCTAGTATTTTGTGGAGCATTTTTGTATCTTTATAGCAGGTATTGGTCTGCAATTTTCTTTTCTTGCAGTGTCTTTGGCGCTGTTATCATGGTTATCTTCACCTCATAGAATGAGTTGAGAGGTGATCCCTTCTCTTCTATTTTGTGGACATGTTTGTGAATAATTGGTATTAGCTCTTCTTTCAATGTTTTGTGGAATTCACCAGTGAAGGCTTCTGGGTCTGGGCTTTTCTTTGTGGGTAGGTTTTTTAATTATGATTAATTCAAATATTTAATTGATGTAGGGCTATTAGATTATCTATATTTTTCTCAAATCAGTTTCAGTGTTTTATGTCTTTCTAGGAATCTGTCCATTTCATTTCAGTCGTTATGCTATTTTATGTTATTGGCATACAATTGTTCATAGTAATCAGTTATAATTCCTTTTGTTTTTTAAAAGTCTGTAGTGATGTTTGTCAGGCGTGGTGGCTCACGCCTGTAATCCCAGCACTTTGGGAAGCTGAGCTGGGTGGATCATGAGGTCAGGAGATCAAGACCAGCCTGGCCAACATGGTGAAACCCCGTCTCCACTAAAAATACAAAAAATTAGCTGAGCATGGTGGCAGGTGCCTGTAATCCCAATTACTTGGGAGGCGGAGGCAGAGAATTGCTTGGACCCGGGAGGCGGAGGTTGCAGTGAGCTGAGATTGTGCCACTGTACTCTACCCTGGGCGACAGAGCAAGACTCCGTCTAAAAAAAAAAAAAAAAAAGCCTGTAGTGATGTTTCACCTTTCATTTCCACTTCTAATAATTTGAGTCTTCTCCGTTTTCTTGGTTAATCTAGCTGAAGTGTTGTCAATTTTGGTAATGTTTTCACAGAATCAGCTTTTGGTTTTATTGATTTTTCTCTTTTCAATTTCATGAAATTCAGCTCTAATTTTTATTATTTTGTTTCTTTTACTTACCTTAGATTTAGTTTGCTCTGTTTTTCCAGTGTCTTCAGGTGGAAGTTTGCATGAATTTGAGATCTGTTTTTTATAATTATAAACATTTACTGCTATAAATTTTTCTCTAAGCATTGCTTCAGCTGTACCCTGTAAATTTTGATATGTTGTATCTTCATTTTTCATTCATCTCAAAGTATTTTTTAACTTCTCTTTTGATTTCTTTCATTTCTTATTTAGGTTGTGTTGATTTCCACATATTTGTGAGTTTCTAAATTCCCTTTTGTTATTAAAGTCCCATTTCATTTTATTGTAATCTGAAAGAAACCAGAATGGGTTCATATTTTTAATAGAGATGGGATTTCACCATGTTGGCCAGGCTGGTCTCAAACTTCTGAACGTGGGAGGTGGAGGTTGCCTTGAGCCTAGATCATGCCACTGCACTCCAGCCTGGGCAACAGAGGGAGATTCTGTCTCAAACAACAACAACAACAACAACAACAACAACAACAACAACAACAACAAATCTCTTTTCAACTTATTAAGGCTTGTTTTATGGTCTATGCTGGAGAAAGTTCCATGCCTCTTGAAAAGAATGTTCATCTGTTGTGATAGGTGGTGTGTTCTATAGACATCTGTAATATTTAGTTTGTGTGTAGTGGTTGTTCAAGTCTTTTGTTTTCTTGTTGATATTCTTGTAAATTATTTTATCTGTTAATAAAATTTGGGTATTGATATTTCTGATTATTATTGTAGAATTGCCTATTTCTCCCTTTAAATCTGTTGACTTCTGTTTTTATGTCTTTGCGGGCTCTGTTAGGTACATAAATCATCACAATTTTATATCTTCCAGATGTAAGCCTTATTTCATATCTTTTATAGTCTTCTTTCCTTCTTGTATTCTTCCTGGTCTTTTTAGACAGTGCTGGCACTATACCTGATGAAGCAGTTTTCGCAAACACTTTGTGAAACCTTCTTAGGTTTCAATAATATTCATCCATTAGACAAAAGCCAGGTGTTTTTGAAATAACCTCTTCTGTATTTTTTGGCTTCTACATAGATGGCAGAGGGGACCACACCACAAAGCTTCCTAGAGGTCCTCTGGTTTGGTTGAGTAGACCTGTGAGACACACTTGATCTTTTTTAAAATTTTTTAATTTTACATACGTAACAAACCTGCACGTTGTGCACATGTACCCTAGAACTTAAAGTATAATAATAATAAAATATGTGTATACATTATATATAACCCAGTTAAAGAAAACAAGTAATGCAGTTAAAAAATGATCAAATGACCTGAATAGATAGACATTTCTCAAAGGAAGACATGCAAATGGCCAACAGGTATATGAAAAAATACTAAATTAATAGTCAGCAGAGAAATGCAAATGAAAACCACAATGAGATATAACCTTATATCTGTTAGAATAATTAATATTAAAAAGACAAAAGATAACACATGCTGGTGAGGTTGTCAAGAAAAAGGAACTCTTCCATACTGTTGGTGGGAATGTGAATAAGTATAGCCATTATAGAAAATAGTATGAAAGTTCTTTAAAAAATTAAAAATAAAACCACCATATGATCAAGGAATCCCATTACTTGGTATATATCCAAGGAAATGAAATCAGTATATTAAAGAAATATCTACACTCTAATGTTTATTGCAGCACCATTCATAATAGCCAAGACATGGAATCAACCTAAGTGTTCATCAACAGATGAATGGATAAAGAAAATATGGCATATGTACATAGTAGAATACTATTCAGTCTTAAAAAAGAAGCAAATTCTGTCATTTGTGACAACATGGATGAACCTGGAGAACATTATTTTAAGTGAAATAAGCTAGGAACAGAAAGGCAAATGCTACATAATGTCACATATATGCAGAATTTTTAAAAGTTGAAATCATAGAAATGGAGAGTAGAATTGTGGTTACTAGGGGCTGGGAGGGGATGTGGTGAGGAGATGTTGGTAAATGGATACAATATTTCAGTTATATAGGAGAAATAAGTTCAAGAGATCTATTGTACAACATGGTGACTGTAGTTAATAACGTTTTGTATTGTTGAAAATCTCTAAAAGAATAGATGAGTTTTCTCATCACAAAAAACTATGTGAGGTATTGCATATGTTGATTAGCTCGGTTTAGCCGCTTCACAAGGTATACATATTTCAGGACATCATGTTGTATATGATAAATATAATTTTTATTTGTCAACTATAATAATAAACAAATAATAGTTTATGACAGGTTAAAAAAAAAAGAAATAAAATCTACCAAGTGTGCATTCAAACACATACATGTAAAATATCTTTGGAAGGGTAAAAAGATGCTGGTAATGGAGTTTGCCTCTAGGGGAGGAAACTGAGTAGCTGAAGGATTCTATAGCCCCCTTGAGATCTTTGGTAGATTTGCACTATGTGAATTTTAGCAACTGAAAATAATTAAAAAACAAAGAAAAATAAAAATAAGTACAGTACTCAAAAAATATTTTTTTCATCTAGGACGTTTTTTGGTAATAGAAAATATCAAATGGAAAATTAACTAGCAAATGTGTTTTTATATATGATAAATATATAATATAAGTACATATATTTATATACATATATATTTATGTATTATATATGATATATATTTTTACTGTGGTAAAATATACATAATATAAATTTTACCATTTTAACCATATTTAAGTATACAGCTCAGTGGCATTACGCACATTCACATTATTGTGCAACCATCATCATCATCCATTTCCAGAACTTTTTTATCTTCTCAAATTGAAACTCTGTACCAATTAGACAACAACTCCTCATTTCTCCCTCCCCCAGCTCCTGGAAACCACCATTCTAGCCTGTGTGGCTGTGAATTTAACTACCTCATATAAATGGTATCATACAGTATTTGCCCTTTTGTGACTGGCTTATTTCACTTAGAGTAAGAGTTTCAGGGTTTATCCATGTTGAAGCAAGTGACAGAAATTCATTCTTTTATAAGGCTGAATAATATTCCATTATATGTATGTATCACATTTTGTTTATCCATTTATCTGTTGATGGACATTTGTGTTGCTTTCATCTTTAAGTTACTGTAATAATGCTGCTATGAAAATTGATGTACAAATATCTGTTCAAGCCCCCTGCTTTTACTTTTTTTGAGCATATAACAAGAAATGGAATTACTGGATCCTATGGTATGTTTGATTTTTTGAGAAATTGCTGTATCATTTTCCACAGTGGTTGCACCATTTTACATTCCCACCAGCCTGAACTAGGGCTCCAGTTCCTCCATATCTTCACCAATGCTTGTTATTCCACCTTTTAAATAATAATCATCCTAATGGGTGTGAAGTGGTATCTCACTGTGGTTTTGATTTGCATTTCCCTAAGGACTAGTAATGTTAAGCACCTTTTCATGTGCTTATTGGCCATTAGCATATCTTCTTTGGAGAATCCTCTAGTAAGGCCTTTGCCCATTTTTGAATGGGGTTGGTTTTTGTTGTGGTGGTGACTTGTAGAAGTTCGTTGTTTTCTGGATATTAATCTCATATTAGAAATATAATCTGCAATTTTTTTCTCTTTCCATGGGCTACCTTTTTACTCTATTAATTGTAGTTTTTCTTGTACTAAAGTTTTTAATTTTGATGGAATTTAGCTTACCTATTTTGTTGTTGTTGTTGCCTGTGCTTATGGTGGCAAACCCAAAAAATCACTGGCAACTGCAATATCCTGAAGTTTTTTCCTGTGTTTTCTTCCAAGAAGTTTATAGTTTTAGCTTTTACATTAAGGTCTTTGATTTATTTTGAGTTAATTTTCTATACTGTGTATGGTAGGTGTCCATTTTTATTCTCTTGCATATGGATATCCAGTATTCCCCACATCAGTTATGGAAATGACTTTTTCTCACTGAATGGTTTTGGCTCATTTGTTGAAAACCAATTGACCATATATGTGAACATTTTCTTCTGAGTTCTCTATTTTATTCCATTGGTCTTTACGTCTGTTTTTGTGCCAGTTCCACACTGTTTTGATTACCATGGCTTTGTAGTAACCTTTGAAATCAGAAAGTGGGAATTCTCCAAATTTCTTCATATTTATCAATATTGTTTTAGCTATTCAGGGCCTCTTGGGATTCTGTATGGATTTTAAGATTAATATTTCTTTTTCTCCAAAATGTCATTAGAAACTTTAGAAGAATTGTATTGATTAGTTTAGATAGTTTTGGGTGGTATTGATATCTCAAAAATATTAAGTTTTCCAATCCATGAACATAGACTATCCTTCCACCTGTTTGTGTCTTTTTCATTTTCTTCAGTAACATTTTGTAGTGTTGAGTGTACAAGTTGCTTGCCCTCATGATTAAGTTAATTCTTTAGTATTTTATTCTCTTTTATGTTATTGTAAATGAAATGATTTTCTTAATTTCTGTTTTCAGATTGTTCATTGCTAATGGAAGAAGTGCAACTAATATTTGTGTATTGATTTTGTATCCTGAAACTTTGGTGAATTTGTTTATGAGTACTAACATTTTGTGTTTATGTGTATGTATGTGTATTTTTTAGAGTTTTATACATGTAAGACTGTCATCTGCAAACAAAGATAATTTTACTTCATCCTTTTCAATTTGGATGACTTTTATTTCTTTTTTTGCCTAATTGAGCTGGCTAGGACTTCCAGTGCTATCTTGAATAGAAGTGGTGAAAGTGAGCATCTTTGTCATATTCCTGATCTTAGAGGAAACATTTTTAGTCTTTCAATATTGAGTACAATATTGGGTGTGGGTTTTTCATAGATGGCCTTTATTATGTTTAGGTAGTTTCCTTTTATTTCTAGTTTGTTAAGTGTTTTTATCATAACAAAGTGCTGAATTTTGTAAAAGTTCTTTATGTGTCAATTGAAATGACCATAGGTTTTAAAAATTTTATCCTTTTAATGTGTGGTATTAACTTGACTTTTTTTTGTATGTTGACTCATCCTTGCCTTTCAGGAATAAATCCTCCCTTGTCATGATGTGTAATCATTTTAATATACTGTCAAATTTGGTATGCCAGTATTTGTTGAGAGTTTTTGTATCAATATTCATAAGGAATATTAGTTGGTAAGGTTTTTTTTTTTTTTGGTAGTTCCTTTGGCTTCATAACTCATTCTGTGAGGCTAGCATTGCCTCATACAATGAATTAGGAAGTTTATTCTCCTCTTCAATTTTTTCAAAGAGTTCTAGGAGGCTTGTTGCTAATTCTTTATAGGTTTGGTAGAATTTACCAGTGAAGACATCTGAGCTTTATTTTTATTTTTATTTTTTGGTGGGAATATTTTAATTATTGATTCTATCTCCTCACTAGTTATAGGTTTACTCAGATTTTCAATTGCTTTTTGATTCAGTCTTAAAAGTTTGTGTGTTTTAGGAATTTATCCATCTTATCTAGGTCATCAAATATGTTGGTACACATTGTTCATACTATTGTTATAATCTTTTTGTTTCCGTAAAATTGGCAGTAACACTTTCTTTTCTGACTTCAGTTATTTGAACCTTCTTTCTTTTTTTCTTAGTCAATCTAGCTAAAGGTTTATCTATTCCGTTTATCTTTTTTAAAGAACAAATTATTGACTTCATTGATTTTTCCCTATTGTTTTTCAACTTTGTATTTTATTCATCTCTGCTTTAGTATTTACTCCATTATTTCTGCTAGGGTTAGGTTTAGCTTTTTTCTTCTTTTCTTATTTTTTAAGGAATCATGTTAGAATGTTTACTTGAAGTCTTTCTTCTCATATAAGAGAAGAATTTAGAGCTATACATTTCCTTCTTAGTGCTGCTTTTACTGCAACCCAGAAATTTTGGTATGTTGTGTTTTCACTTCATTCGTTTCAAGATATTTTCTAACTTTTCTTGTGATTTACTATTTGATCCATTTGTTATTTTGACTGTGTTTTAAATTTCCACATATTTGTGAATTTTTCTGTTTTTTTTTTCTGTTGTTGATTTCTAATTTCTTTCCACTATGTTCAGAAAATACATTTTGTGTGATTTCAATCTTATTTAAAATGTATTAAGACTTGTTATGTAGTATAACATGTGATCTATCCTTGAGAATGTTTCGTATACACTTAAGAAAAATGTATATTCTGCTGTTGTTGAGTAGAGTGATCTGTTTATGTCATTTACGTACAATAGTTCTATAGTGTTGTTCAATTCTCTGTGTCTTTGTTGATAGTCTATCTGGTTATTCTATCCATTATTGAGAGTGAGGTATTGAGGTTTCCTACTATTACTATAGTGCTATTTTTCCCTTCATTTCTGCCAGTATTTGCTTCATATGTTATGAGCTCTCATGATGGGTATCTATGCATCTCTAATTGGTACGTCTTCTTAGTGAATTGACTCTTTTTTTAAAGGGTCAACATAATGTTCTTTGTCTTTTGCATTTACTTTCTACTTAAAGTTTATTCTATCTGATATTAGAATAGCCACCCTTCTGCCTTTTGGTTACTATTTGCATGAAATGGCTTTTCCATCATTTTACTTCTAATCTATGTGTATCCATAGACTTAAAATGTGTCTCTTGTAGAAGGCATGCATTTGGATCCTGATTTTTAGTCAATGCTGCCAATCTATGTCTTTGGTTTATATATTATTTATATATTGCTTTCCTGATTTTCTTTAGTTCTTTATCCATGTTTTCCTTTAGCTTTTGGAGATTATTTGACAGTTGCTTTAAAATCTTTATGTAGTATGTGTTTCTTCAGAGACTGTTTCTAGAAACTATTTCTCCTTTTAATGGGTAAGATTTCCCTGTTTTTCTTTGTCTAAATAATCGTTTGTTGGGAACTGTGCACTTGATAAAATAGCCACTTCTCCTAATTTTTGCAAATTGGTGTGGAATACTTCTGCTAATTAGTGATCCCCTGGGTCTTGAGATCAGCCTGGGGTAACGGCTTATGGTCTTCATAGTTATTTTCTGGGCATGTAGCCTATCTGAGCCTGTGTAAGTGTGTGCTTTTGCCTCTTTCTTCTGATGTTCCTTGGCCACTTTCAAATGCCTTAGTTTTTCAGAAAGTCTCACCTTTTTATCCCAGTGCCTCAAATGTTCTAATGTATTCCCCTATCTATAATCTTTTGCCTCAGGCACCCATACGCCTGCACTCCTCCTTTAGTTTTCATGTGCTCTGTTGCCCACCAAATGCCTTCCATGGTTTCCAATCTTAGATCTAAACTATGCTCTTATTCTTGTGTGCTTGCTGAATCAGGTAAAACAGACACTAGTCCTTTGGGCACTCTACAACCAGGCAAGAATTTTGAAAACGATTTGCACTTTGCTCTTTCTGCCCTGAAGGAGAGATCAGGAATTGAGCCATTTCTTTGACCCCACCAATATGGGAAGAGGTGAGCAAAGTCAAGTAAAACACCACAGAATTTTTCCTACCATTTCAATGTGTTTTGTTTGTTTGTTTTTGATTGGGAGTTTGGTTGGTTGCTATAGATCTTAGACTAATTTCCAGAGCTCTTGTAAAGTTGTTTTAGTCAGTCTGTAGTTGTTTATTTAGTGTTTCCATAGGGACAGGGGAGTTTGGACTTCCTAATCAGACATCTTGCTGATGTCACTCTATCCTCTTAATCTTTTTAGGGGGCCAATTTTCTGACTAAATACTGGCATTTTGTGAGCTTTTTGACGTTTGAGCAGAAGGTTCTGTAATCACATACTCAGCCTTTTTTTTTTTCTGCCATGTTATCAATAGCTTTTCTTGACTTTTGCTACCTTTTCTTTTTTTTAACCTGTTGAGGCTGAAACTTATCAAAATTTTACCAGTTTCTTTACTGATTTTTTGTTTACTTGTTTGCTTAACATTTCTTTCCTCATTTTATCGCTCTCCTCTCTCATTTTACTGGAAGTTCCAGTAGAAACCAGGCAGCACCTTCAATTCTTTTTTGGAAATCTCCTTAGCTAAATATCCAACTTTGTTGCTAACAAATTCTGTTTTCCACATAACCACATAACTGCAGAAGACAATTTTGCTAAGGTTTTTTTTTTTTTTTAAAAAACTAATGATCTAACCAAGGAAATTTAAGTTTCCTCTAGCGTGATTCCAAAAACTCTTTCATCCAAACCCATTCCATGATTTCAAGTTACCCTTACTTTTTTAATATTTGTTATGTCACTTCTCCATTTCCAGTTTCCAAAATTTATTTTAGTTTTCTATTGCTATTAATAAATTACCATCAACAGAACAGATTAAAACAATACCTATTTATTTTCTCACAGTTTCTTTTGGTCAAGGGGCTGGGCACAGCCCAACAAGTTCTCTGCTTAGGATCTCATAAAGCTGAATAAATGTATTATTAAGAGTGCATTTTTATCTAGAGCTCAGGGGTCTCTTCCAAGCTTGTTTAGGTCTTTGGCAGAATCAGTTCCTTGAGGTGCCCATTTTTTGGCTGGCTGTCAGCTGGGGGCTGCTCTCAATTCTGAGAAGTCACCCTCAGGTCTTAGCTATGTGATAAAATGTTTACAAGAATCTAATAATCATATTTTCTTTAAATTCTCTCTTACATATAAAAGTTATTAAAAAATGTATCTCAAAGGAAATGAATGCTAGAAATTAAACTTAGGCAAAATGCTAATAACCGAAAGAGAAAATAATGTGTATGTCCAGTTAAAATAAATCTTGACATAAACAGTATCCCAATTATGATATATGCAGGAGGATATTACTACATAGAAATTAGATAAGCAAAAAATACATTTATAGAATTAACAAACTTTTGTAATACTATATAATTCCTTTTACATAAAGCTCAAAAACAGGCACAATCATACTAAAGTGATAGAATTACCCTTTGGCATAAAAAATTTTATAAGAGCTCTGTCAGAAGTAAACTGGAAGTTTACTTCTTCAAAGTGAGCAGGATAATCTGTTTTGATTAATTTAAAGGCAACTGATTAGCGTTCTTAATGAGATCTGTAAAATGTCTTCACCTTTGTCATATGACGTAGTTTAATTGTGGGAGTGACAGTGTGTATTCAGGGTCTCACTCACACTCAAGGGGAGGGGATTGTACATGGGTTTGAGTCATTGGGGGCCACTTTAGACTTCTTCCTACCAAAACAGTATTATAACAAGCTAAACTGAATTTCCGCAACTTGAGCCTCTCTTCATATTTATTAGCCATTTGCATTTTCTCTTTGGTAACAATGTTTTTCCTTACCTTTACATATAAATTACATATTTATTTAAGAATAGTGTTCTAAATTTATTTTCACTAACATAAACTGCATACATCTTATAGTAAATGGCACAGATGTTAATTGTACAACCAGATGGATTTTTCCATGGTACATACCTGCGTAACCACCACCCAGATTGAGCTAGAACTTTCCCAGTACTTCAGCAGGCACCCTCACATCCTCTCCAGGTCAAATCCCTCCTCACAAGGGTAATTGAATTACTTTAGAATAATTGTGCCTGTTTCTGAACTTTATATAAAAGGAATCATACAGTATATATAGAAGTCTGTGTTTTTTTCTAAGTATTATTTTGTCTCTGAAATTCATCTATGTAATTGCTTGTGTAATTTCTATGTAGTAATATTCCCTGCATATATCATAATTGGTCTCTACATTCTACCGTTTATGTCAAAATTTATTTAAACTGGACATACACATTATTTCTTTTTTGATTATTAGCATTTTGCCTAAAGGTTTAATTTCTGAGCATTCAGTTTTAAAAAATATTAGTTAACTTTTATATGTAAGATCGAATTTAATGAAACTATGATTATTAGGTTCTCATAAACATTTTGTTATCGTGAGAAGTTAGAATAATTTATGTTGAAGATGTATTGCCTATATATATCCTCTATATAGGATATATATATCCTCTTTATTATGCTTATACATCTGTTTTAGAAACGATAATTTTATGTTCTGAATTTGGAGAACATTATTAAAAAACCCATGTAAATAATTTGGAAATAAAACACGTGCAATAAAAGCTAATGCTATATGAAAAAGAGTGATGTTTTGAATTTAAGAAAGAACCCTGAAGAAAGAAAACTTATGTTTTTATTGCCATTATAAAATATGACATAAAAATGTAATTTTAGTTATCATTCAAATTATAAATCTGGGAACTGAAATGTATATTATTTAAGAATCAATTTAAGTATTTCATTACCAAATAAGAAGTAAGTCTAGGATGCATTAAAACAAATTTGATATGAGATTGCCTACATTTGCCAATTTTATTATATTCTTCAAATTCCTCCTATAAAACTCCACATGAGGCCTCAACCTAAGTCCAGTTTATGTTACTTAGTAGATGTAACTTAATCACAACATTAGCTCAGGATATTGGACACAGTGTGCATTAATGTCTTCTAAGTAAAGTGATTTAGTTGCTTTTTGTGTTGTGTGTGTATGTGATCTACACTAGAGAAATTCAATTTCTAGAATAGCCATTTACAAAAGCCTTTCTCCTCCTATTGGTGCCCTCAAAGATTACTCTTTTGTTATTGATTCCTACTCCTGGGCTGCACCTGCCTATGGGCACCCCTTCTCTCTACAGATGCCATATGTCTTCAGAAATAGTTTTTTAAGGGATAGCTCTGAAATAACTCACTCCTTGCTTTTCTGAGGGATTGATGAAGACAAAATAAAATATAAAATATATACTTTTTAATCATAGGGACCCTAGTAGCTCCGTAGAAATGAGTTATGAAGACCGATGCCTGCAACTGCACTTTTGTCCTTGTCTCTGCACCGCAGAGTGTGGAAGTCACTTCTTCATGGAGAAAGAAACTATTTATTAGCTGCCTGAAGTGGATCGGACACTATGATAGGCACTTTACATGATTTGGATTTTCTCACTTCATCATTACAACCAGTTTGCAAACAGACTTTCATATCTCTGTTACTGGATGTTATAGAGATGTGATTTGGATTTCTGGGCAGTGTTGAGAGCCCTGTTACTAAGAATCTACTATAGAGACTGCGAACTCTAAATGATAAAAATGCTAACCTTACTGCGAAAAAAATGAAAACTGTGCGATGAGTAACAACAAATTAGCATGGTGAAACCTACAAAAGAACTGTGTGCTAAATGTTGGAGGAACATGTAGCACAGAGTAAATAACTGCTCAGAAGAGCTGAGAGGCTTCCAGAGGAGAGACTGTGTAAACAGAGGCTGTGTGAGTGCTGTACCATGGCCAGTGCCCATGGGGCCAGCTTTTACTCTAGATCAAGTCAAGTGGCATGAACACACAGAGTGTCCCATCCCACTGCCGAGCTGCTGGGTTGAGGAATCAACCAGTCAAACTCTCACGTTGCCCATGTGTAAGCGCTTCAAGAAAATGACTTCCCCAGTTGTATTATGACTTCCCCAAGTTGTAGTTGTATTGGCAGCTTGGGCTGCCAAACTGCCACAGACTGAGCGGCTTAAACAACAGACATTCATTTCTCACAGTTATTTTCTAAACCTCTAAACTGAGGTTTAGAGATGTTATCTGATTTGCCCAAACCCTCACGAGGTTCAGCATGAAACTCTCATCCAGGCACAATGCCTATATTTATCCTCTTTCTTATGGTTATACATCTGCCATTGCAGTCCCTTTGGGTCCTTTTTTAAAATAATTTTAATAATTTTTATTTTTTGAAAAGGCTTTTCCAAGGCTCAATATACATAAATCATTGAATTTATAATGTTTAGTATATATTAACTGCTTAGTGTAATGTTTAGAATATACATAAATCACTGAATTAACTAGTCAGCTTCCTGAGAAATTTAGTGATCTCACAACTGAATGATGACCTGGAGAGTTTGTTACAACACAGATTATTGGGTTTCACCCCCAAATCTTCTGACTCAGGAGGTCCAGGATGGGGCCTGAGAACTTGCATTTCTAACGAGTTCTCAGGAGACGCTGCTAGTCCATGCATCACATCTGGAGATACACTGCCTTGGTGTGATGGAAAAAGAATTCTACTTACAATCATAAGTTATGGGGCTATTCTCTCTTTTATTGGCCTTCTAGCTGTGCGCTGGTGGTACGGACTGAACTGTGTTCCCTGTTTGTTGAAGTCTTAACCCTCAGTACCTCAGCATGTGACTATAGCTAGGACTTTAAAAAAGGCAATGAGGACTAAATGACATCAAATGGGTGGATCCTTATAAGAACAGGAAATGTACGCATAAAAAGAGACACCAGGGATGCACACACATAGAGATAAAACCATGTGAGGGAGAAGAAAGCCGTCGGCAAACCAAGGAGAGAGGCCTCAGGAGAAACCAACCCTGCCCACACCTTGCTCTTCTTGGTGCTGACAACTGTGAGATAATGATTGTCTGTTGTTTCAGCAGCTCAGTCTGTGGTAGTTTGTTTGGCAGCCTGAGCTGACTAATACAACTGGGGAAGTCACTTCCTTGCTGAGCTTACACATGGGCAATGTGAGAGTTCGGCTGGTTGATTCCTCAGGCCAGCCACTTGACAATGAGATGGGGCTTTCTGTGTGTTCATGCCACTTGACTTGATCTAGTGTAAAAGCTGGCCCCCACGGGCACTGGCCATGGCACAGCACTCACGCATCCTCTGTTTACACCATCCCTCCTCTGGAAGCCTCTCAGCTCTTCTGAGTAGTTATTTACTGTGTCCTACATGTTCCTCCAATATTTAGTACATGCTTCTCTCACAGGTTTCACTTTGCTGATTTGTTGTTACTCATCGCATGGTTTTCAGTTTTTCCCAGTAGGTTTAGCATTTTTATCATTTGGAGTCTGCAGGCTCTATAGTAGATTCTTAGTAACAGGACTGTCAACACTGCCCAGAAATTTAACCATGTTTCCCTGGCCAACTCTCACTTCTTGTGCCAAGTCAATTTCAAATGTCCCCTCTCCTCGTGCCTCCGGTTCCTCCTCCTCCCACTCCCATTGGAGGAGGGAGTTCCTGCCTCAGAAAGAAAATAAGAGTGAATAAATCCATCCACCTCCCACCCTCTCCCACCTGCATCCTCTTTCCTTCCTGTTACAGGAGGAAACACCCTCTTTCCTTCCTGTTACAGGAGGAAACACCCTCTTTCCTTCCTGTTACAGGAGGAAACACCCTCTTTCCTTCCTGTTACAGGAGGAAACACCCTCTTTCCTTCCTGTTACAGGAGGAAACATCCTCTTTCCTTCCTGTTACAGAGTAGGGCCCTCTTCCTAGGTGAGGCTGATTTCTTTGCCAAGATGAATCCTTTCCCACCTTTGAAGGAAGAATTCATTGCTCTCTGTTTTCAATGCCTCCCCCTGTCCTGAATCTTTCTCACTATGGATTATACATGCTCATGGCTCTTCTTTTGCTAAAGACAAAGCAGCATAAGAGAAACAAAACCCTTCCTTCAAATCATTTCCCTCCAGTTGCCTCCATAGCTCTCTCCCCTTTACAGCCAAACTTCTTTCTCAAGAGTTGTGGAGACAAGCTGTGACTTGCATCGTCGTCTCTCACTTGAGCCTCGGTCAACTCAGATATGTGCCATTTTCCCACCATCCCACTCAAAAGGCCTGTTTTAATTTCACTGGTGACCAGCACATCACTAGTTTCAAAAGGCATCATCCTTTATCTCTAAGCTGTATCCAGCATCCTCTTTTTGGGCAAAACTTTATTTCTTTGGACCCTATGACACATCACTTGTTTTCCCCTGAGTACTTGTCTTCACCTCACCTCCTGCTTCATCCTGACCTTCATCTGTTAGAGTTCTACCATGCTCAGGCAGTCCCTGAGCTCTCTTCTCTCTTTATTCTTCTGAGGGGTCATTTTGTCCCTAACTGAGGTTTCCTTGTTCCCATACTGCTGCTCATACATCTGGGGTCAGCTCAGATCACCTCTCTTGGCTCTTGGCTATAACTGCCTGCTGAGCAACTCCATTCTAACGCATCCCAGGTACCTCCATCTCAACACGTTTAAGTCCAACTCATGATTTTAACCCAGAAAACTTTCCTCTGGCTCATTCTTGGTCTTAGAGAATATTGCTGCTCTCTACCTAGTTTACAAACCAGAATGTCAGAGTTATTCATGAGCCTTTTCCTCTTGCCCTCCATATGTAGCCATCCCTAGATTCCATCAGGGCATGCTCTACACTGCAGCCAAGTCTTTCTTTCTTTCTCTCTTTCTTTCTTTCTTTTTTTTTTTTTTGAGACAGAGTTTCACTCTTGTCACCCAGGCTGGAGTGCAATGGCGAGATCTCAGCTCACTGCAACCTCCAGCTCCTAGGTTCAAGCGATTCTCCTGCCTCAGCCTCCTGAGTAGCTGGAATTACAGGTGCCCACCACCATGCCCAGCTAATTTTTGTATTTTTAGTAGAGATGGGGTTTCACCATGTTGATCAGGCTGGTCTTGAACTCCTGACCTCAGGTGATCCACCCACCTCAGTCTCCCAAAGTGCTGGGATTACAGGCATGAGCCACTGTGCCCGGCCTAGCCAAGTCTTAAGAATAAGTATTTGATCACATTATTCTCACTCCCAAATATTTAATGGTTTTTCATCTTCTGGGACTCAAATTCTGCTCATGGACTCCTAAGATGATAGAAGGATTGGATCCTGACTGCACCTTGTCTATGCCAGTTGGACTCCTTTCAGTTTCTTAAACAGATCAAGCTCCTTCTTGCCCCCAGAATCTTTACAACAGCTCTTCTCCCTGCCTGGAATGCTGTCTACTCTTTCCCCCTTCTCTGAGCTAATCTTTGTTCATTCTTCAGTACGTGATTTATTTGACTCTTCTGCAGAGTCTTCTTCAACTTGCCAGACCAAGTTACTTCCCTCCTGATAAATGCTCATGCTCCCCTCTTATGCTTCACAGAACCTGTGGCAGGTTGTATTTAAATAGCTAATTGCAAGTGTTTAACATCTTTGCCCAGTGAAAGAATGCAAATTCAGTGGAGCTATCTCGTGTGTGGCTGTATTTCTGGCAGGGAATGCAGTGTCTGTCATAATAAACCTGGAATATAGGTTTCTTGCCTGACTAACAGACCAGCTGAATGAGAAGGGACACCTGCATATCAAGGCAAGTGGTAACCACTTGGCCTTACCTGGGTTCTACTCTAGGGCTTCTGGAATCCATGTATCACTGCACATATCTGGCCTTTGCGGGCTCTGTCCCACCTACAGAGTGAACAGTCCCACAGTGTTGGCCACACTGATGTGGCCAACTGATGTGGTCCCACTGATGTACCATTGCTTTGGTTACTTTGTTCGGAATGTAGTTTTAAGAGAAGGGGCCTTTTTAAAGAAAGTTTAAAAATCACCTGGGTACTTAGTAAGATGGCATATTCTTAGGCCTAACTTTCACAAATTTGGATTCTAAAGACCTAGACATTTACATTAAGGAGCACCCCAAGTTCCTTGATTTAGATGGTCTGTGGCCACTACTATGAGAAACATCCTGTTAGAGTATCTTTAAGCTCAAAGTTTATGTGAAAGATCACAAATCTATCTAATACTGAGTGATTTGGGGAGACATGATTGTTTTCTTTATATAATGCTTTGTCATGCCCTTTAAAAAAAAAAAAAAAAAAGAAACCTTATTCCCTGATGTGAGACCTGAGATTGCATTTACATTTTCAGCTCTATGATCTGCCACTACCACTTTACATACAGTTCTGTTCCTTTTTTCTCCCACAATTTAATTCTCTGTATTTCATTTCTAATTACTGCTTCTTCTGATGATGGAAAGCAATTTTGGCAGTGATTAATTTGAAGGGTCTGCAACCTCTCCTTTGCTTTTTAAGACAATTCTATTTGCACAGCCCATCCTATGAAGGGCTAGTAGAACTCTGCCTCTTCAGAGGGCTGTTCCAAATTTTTTGGGTGTCTCCAGGCTTAACCATGATGCTAATCCTAGAGTGCTGTCTTTTCTTCTTTAACCAAATTTCCTCAAATTTCAAAAACCACCTTCCCTGGAAGCAAGGTGGGAAGGGACATGGCTGCTGCCAATTATGCAGGCCAAAGAAAGTTTGTGTTCCACATTAGCTAAAAGCAGCAGAAAGCTAATGGCAGGGTGCTTTGCAGAAAAGAGTCTGCCAAAATAAAATGGAATTGAAATAGATTTGGGCAGGATAAATGCTGGTGGCAGGTGCCAGAAAGCAGCAACTTCTGTCAGAAGCAGTGAAAAGAGAAGAAAGTGTGTGTAATTCTTGCAGCCATGCAGATCAGAGCTACTAAATAAACCTCCTGAGGTTAATGATAAATAGTTCCAAACCTCATCTCCTGTACTGGAATATCATATTCCTGTGAGATATTTAACAAAAGATGAGATTAACTCATCTTAAATGCAGTCATTGCCTCAAAAGTGGGTAATGCAGACAGGACTAGCTCTGAGCAACTTTCACTAACATATCTACCTCCAGGAAGCTAAGGATAAATAGGCCCTTGAAAGCATCTTCAATCCTGTTTCAACACCCACCTCCTCACGGGAGCCTAGGAGAGTTGGGTAGGGCATCTTGAACTGGCTCCTTCAATTCCATCTTCCTCCCTACTCCCATAATCCATTTCTTTCTCCCTAGTGGATAGAGATACTTGGGAATACTGTGAGTAGCTGCATTTATCTCTCTTTGAACCATGGTACAAAATCATGACTTTACTTTGTTAACTACTTTAACTTTGTTGTTTTTAACTCTGAAAATCATGTTGCAATGAAGCCCCATTAATGACTTGAAAACTGCTCCTGAATGAGGCCCACTAGGCATGGCTGTCAAAGTTGAGAGTGAAATCAAGAGGTTAAAGGAACTGCAGAGGTGGTATTAGGTTTTCTGAGGAGGGGAAGAATGGACCCAGGAGAGAGAGAAGCCTCACCTCAGGAAGGCAATACATAGATAGGGATGCTGAATACAATATTTGGTCAATATCCATCCATTCAATCACCCATCAGACCTTACTGAGCATCTCATTTGGGCTGGGGAGTGAGATTAAAGCTGAAGATATTGAGATGAATTTAAATTAAGCTCCACTCTTTCTGGTTTCAAGGACCTCAGCGCATATGAAGAAGACAGGTAAGTGGAAGGTGATAGGAACAGTGAGGGAGATGAACATTGGGCTCAGGTTGAAGAGAAGATTTGATAGTAGGGAAATTTTTCTTCTTTTTTTCAGCTATATTTATTGACCCTCACTTGTGCCAGATGCCACCGTAAGGGCTCCTACTTGCATTATCATCACTAACTTTTCCAAGAGGAGCTGTCTGAGCCAGACTTCCAATGGGCAGATGCCTGACAACAGAGTCCACATGCCTGCCTGCATAGAACCTTGCCTCCCAAATGTGACCAAAATAGAAATCAGAGAGCAGGGTTAAGGCTGAGATCATAATTATGGTGCAGCAAAATTATCTCTCGCCCTAACCATCAATGACAACCGCAAAGGAAGCTCAGGTTTGGAAACTCAAGTGTGAAGCTGTTTAGAGACTGCAGGAAGACCTGTCTTTGGTGCATATTTAGAGTTTAGGTGCCTTGACCAGGTAGTATAAGCCCTTTAGTGATACTGATGGGTTCATACCACCCATTCAATATCCCTGATTCCCTGAATGTCAACTCACTGTCTTTTCAGTATAGGTTTAATCAAAAGTGTTTCAGCAACCTTTATTCAAAAATGTGGCTGGGTTTAAGGTATGACCTTATTCACAAGTGAAATACTAATTTGATCTTTTGACATTTTGGCTATTACAATCATAGGGCATTGCAAAGAACCAAATCAATGATGAATTAGCCACATAGGAATTGGAAATTTTAATGGCATGACATGTAGCATTTTTCTTTTACCTATATTGTGTTTTTTTAAGAAAAATTACATTTGAAAAAGCAGTATGGTTGTTATAAGAAATAAACAGATAAAGTATCACATAAATTGATAATTATGAGATTATCAATAAAACAGTTTAGATAAATATTGCCTCCACTTATTAGCTTCTTTAAAGAATTAGGCTTAATATTGATTTTACTTTTTAAGAATATATTTAATTAACCTAGCTTTATTTATTTATTTGAGACAGAGTCTTGCTCTGTCTCCCAGACTGGACTGTAGTGGCGTGATCTTGGCTCACGGTAACCTCTACCTCCCAGGTTCAAGCAATTCTCCTGTCTCAGCCTCCTGAGTAGCTGGGATTACAGGCACCCACAACCACGCCCAGCTAATTTTTGTATTTTTAGTAGAGATGGGATTTCACCATGTTGGCCAGGCTGGTCTCGAACTCTTGACCTCCAGTGATTCGCCCACCTTGGCCTCCCAAAGTGCTGGGATTACAGGCATGAGCCACTGTGTCCGGCTCCTAGCTGTCTGTACTGCCATGTTTAATAAATAATTGTTTTTCAGGTTTTATGTTTTGTTAGTAAGCACCCACATGCCACAAAAACATTCTTTTATTTTCTTTTCCTTTTGATTTCTCTCTATTCCCTTTCCTATTTCCTCTCTCCTTCCTTCCTTCCTTTTTCTTCTCTCCTCTCCTCTTCCCTTTTCTATTCTTCTTTAAAAATAAGATGTTTGATTTTATTGGCTCTCTACTTGGGGAAACAAAAATGTTTTGAATAAGACAATTCAGTAATGGTTTGGATAAATATCATACAGCTTTATATATACCAGAACAAAGATTGAAGAGTACCCTATCTAACAGGGAAGAAAATTACCTGTCCAAAATGTTCAGTGTATTCAGGGTTAGCCAGGGCTGGAATTCAGGCATCCTGATGCTAGAGTGTGTGACTTCCCCTGTGAGACATTTACAAAGTTAGTACCCATCTTAATGGTGTCTGCCTATTGAATTAGAAGTATATTTCCCAAGGAAACCTGTAGCACTGTTAAGGTTTCCATGCAGCTCACCTGATTCTATTTCCCTGACTTGGTGAGACAGATGCAATGATTTATGTCTTTTCATGTCTGCCAATTATTCTGAAATCCAGCATTATGACTGGGGTCAGCAGAAAATAGTCCTCATACCATTTCTGTAACCAGCTTAGCATATTTCTGTCCCATAATCCATGTCTTTGCATGAGATTCCTTCTATTTCTTCACACTCTGGTTACCCTCCCTACCTGTCACAAACATGTTTTTATTTTTGAATTGCTGGCATTGGCTGACTCCTTGAAGAAACTTCCTCTAATCTGACATTATGTATATTTCACTGTGCTGTTCAGGTTTCACTGACACGTTTTGTTTACTTGTTTGACTCTATTACAAGACCAAGAACTTCTCGAAACCCTTCTTCAAATAGATAACCCAGCACCTAGCATAGCACTTGCACTAGTAAATACTCACTGAATTTAATTCCCCAAATTTAACTCATTTCACAACCTCTCTTGAACTGGATTTATTTATAAATAAATGAACCTTTTGATCTACATTAGTTCAGAGAGCCATTTCAGCACTAGAATTCTGTAACTCACTGAACAGAGAATTTTACTGTTTCTATCTCATAAAATCATGCTTTATTTCCTGAATAAGTGTACAGTCTTTACAAAGTAATTTATCGTTTACAAGATGATTAAGTGTTCAGTGCTGAGAAAACCCAGAAAATTGTGAAGAAGAATAAAAGAGTCATAATCTCACCACAAGAATATAAATTTTTAAGTAGGTTAAAAAATGCTTATACCACCTTCGCTTTTTAAATTAAAACCTTCCATTTTATCAAATGGCATGTAGGGTTTATGAATTATTGGATAAAATGCAACTTTTCACTAAAAGCATATCAAAATATTATTTTTTATAGTTTAATATTAGTAGTTTTAGCAAATTATCTTCATTCTATATGTATTACTTTGCAACATTTTTCATCTGATATATGATGAGTGTCTTCCTATAATTTCATATGTGATGTTTTAACCCTCCCTCATTTTTTGGTTAATACACGCTGTTAATACTTGGGTCATATTCCCTCTCCCACTCATTTTACTGAGTCACCTTTCATGTTCATTTTTCAAAAGACTGTATAATTTCATCTTAAATTGCTTTATTCACTTACAAAATGTAATAAACATTCTCTATGAGTATTTACCTATACTATTACCTTAAGCAGATTAATGTATTTTACTACATCCTTGTATTGTAATTTGTTCAGTTAATACCTACACATTAAATACTTGTTTCTTGCCTCTTGTTATTATATTCTTTTTTTTTTTTCTTTTCTTTTTCTTTTTCTTTTTTTTTTTTGGAGATGGAGTCTCACTCTGTCACCCAGGCTGGAGTGCAGTGGCGTGATCTTGGCTCACTGCAACCTCCGCCTCCCTGTTTCAAGTGATTCTCCTGCCTCAGCCTCCCAAGTAGCTGGGATTACAGGCATACACCACCATGCCTGGCTAATTTTTGTATTTTTAGTAGACACAGGGTTTCACCATGTTGGACACGCTGGTCTTGAACTCCTGACCTCAGGTAATCTGCTCCACCTTGGCCTCCCAAAGTGCTGGGATTATAGGTGTGAGCCATCGCGCCCAGCAAGATGTTATAAATCACCTGGTTTATGTATGTGATGAAATTTTATTTTATTATTTATAATAAAACTCTTGTATTGAGATAAAGCAGATCAAAGGCGATCTGTATTTGTCTCCAACAGAAAGACTATATGGACCTGTTCTCCCACCAGGAATGTATAAGAAGATCCGTTTCCTTAACCCTCAATAATATTAGATGTTAACATTATCTTTAATCTTTACTATATTGATTAGTTTAAAAACTAAATTATTGCCTTGGATTACAATATTTACATATTGGCTATTTTGTAAATCTTTTATTAACTGTATATTCCTGAACGTTGTGTGCCCATTTTCTTTTGGAGTTTTCATCTTAATTTTACTGACTTGAAAGCATTATGTTTGTAAAGCTTTATTATAAAATCTTCAAGAACACTTGGATGAACTGGGTAGTGTGGAGATCATATTCTTGGATGCTTGCTGAGACTTTGATATTTAAGCTATTTCTCATAGGTGTTAATGTTTGAACAATTGCAGCCAAGTGACCAAAAGAAAAATTCTTTGGACATTTTTCCCAAGCAATTTGATGGTCAGGATAAATGGGAATGCATGATTATGGATGAAACTAGAGTCCTTGAATATAATTGCACTCATAAGTCAAAGAAGGCAATTCATAACAATTTGGCCCAGCATTTTAATTTTGTCTGTTAAATTATTCATGCGAATACTTTCATGAGTTAAGCCATGAATATTTGATTGGTGGTTGATTCATAACCATAAACTATATTAGCCCTTTATTTTTCTCATTTATGTCCAATTAACATATACGGGAAGGTGGAGAAAATTTATTCTTCTTAATATGAGAAACATCTTTCCCCACAGACTTATCGAGGCTGTCTGATGAACATTTACTATGACTCCGGGTCAACATTACGTTTATTCTGGCAGTTTAATAACTGTTCTAATAATAATTCTCATTACATAGAGGGAAAATATTACAAATCTCTACTTTACAAGTGAGGAGATGACATTCAGAGAGGTTAAATAATGTTCCAGAATCCACACGATATGTTGGTGGCTGAGATTAGATTCAAATCCAGGATTAAAAAATTGAATGTTCCCCACCCCACAGTGGCTCTGATGATTGTTCTCAATGAACCCAGGCCAGTGTGCACATAAATCACCACTCTCTGAGTCTACTCTATTCCTTTTCTGTTACCAGAGCTAATTGCTAAGTAGATATCCAATACTTGTTTAGTCATGTCAGTTTTGTATCACTTAACAAATATCTCTTCTGCCAACTAAGCAGGTATTTACAGCCATTTCCCTGCTGTACACAAATATGAGAAGGTGCACAGTTTGGCAGGTGGCTAAGAATGGGTGGCTAGATGTGAATGTCAAAAGCTGCTACGTAAAGGCTAATTTGTAGGTTGTGACATTTGGTGAACTGTGGCTATTCAGTTCCTTTTAAGCCTGAACAAAGTATGGCATTTTACCTTGTCAGAGAAAGAGCTTCTTGGTCAAAGGGCTGTGAAGATATCAAGTAATTATTTCAGTAATTACTTTTAGAAATCCAGGGATGGGCACCCAAAAACATCCCAGTTATTTTAGCTTGAGTTAGAGAATTCAAATACTTATCCTAATAAATATGCAGACTTAATAGAATTGGTGTTATCCAGCACTATAACCTCATAAAATCATCAAGAAGAGTGTATATACTTGTATGTGTGTATATATATAGATAGATAGATAGGTAGAGATATAAAATTTAGTTTAATGACATACTTTTTTCCTAGCAATATAATCTGTCTATATGCTGACTTAATAACTGCTTTATGAGAGCTGTATATGGATCACCATTGATAAATGCATTAAATCAGTGGTTCCATAGACTGGCTGAGAATTTCAATCTTCTGGGAAGTTATAAAAACACACTTTTAACTCTGAGTCTCTGGAGATTGGGATTTTTTTTTTTTTTTCTGAGATAGGGCCTGGCAACCAGCATTTAAAATGTTCCCAGGTTAATCTGATATGCAGCCTGGTTTAGAAACCACTGCTTTAACTACCTAATGCCTCATCCTCATTAGAACTTTATTCATTAAAATTAAATACTAATTTGCCTTATAATTTGGAAGTCTAACATGTGACTCAGCCCAAGTGACTACTGGGTTTGGAAGTCTTCTGTCCAGCACAAACCCTGAAATCCTTAAAAATGGGTGTGCAGGTCTTTCTTGTCTTGGTTTCTGATCACTTTTAACTCTCATCTCCTGCCACTTGCTACACGGATGTGCCACATTCTGTTTCCTTGCTATTCACAGAGAATGCCAGGCCTATTTATACCTCCTGTTTTGATCTTTAGACTTCCACATTTTCTTGTCTGCCTGTAAACTCCCAGGGATCTCAAGGATTCTACCTGAACGTCCGGGCCGCTTGGCCTGTTTCTCACTTTTTCCTCAGCATCCCAAGGACTCACTCCTTGGTACCGACTCTTTCCAGCCTGACACTTTGTTACAGTGTGCTGGGTTATTTCTTTACATTTTTATCTCAACCCGTATGTTGGGGACAGAAACCAAAGAGCCCAGCGCCTGCACACACTGGGCACTCAGTAAATATCCCAAATGAAGTTTTCTCAGATATGCATTTTTATCCCCATGACCCCTCTACAATTCTGTTCTCAATGCTGTGACAAATGATGTCTCTTTCACATGGTACAGCTTCTTTAAAAATGTTCTCTTTTGGGTCTTCAAACTTGTTTGCTGCTCTCTATTAACTGTATTTCAGTTTGGTGTTTGTGAGCAGTACAATCCGTTTAGTACATCTGTTCTTTATAAGACTGCCTTTCTTGTGAAATACTTCATATTGGATTTTCTGGAGTACTTTAGAGTCAATCACTGGGAAAAACTATCACCACAGCTGATTGATCCGGCTGAGTCCTGCTTTGGACGTCGTTTAAGACTGCAGTCCATGGGCTACCTCTGTCTCTGCTCCCAGCTTCTCATCCACCCAGTGGACAGAAAAGCTGCTCTCCACAGCTTGTTTGGAACGTGCAACCTCAACTCCAGGAGATTTACTGAGATTCGTTGGTAGAGGCTCCAAAGGATCACTCTTGAGGGAGCGTGGCCGGATGATCAGTAGATGAATGATGCACAGCTCACGCTTTCCTTTCGAATTTTGCTTGTGGATCGCTCTGATAGCTGAGGATGTTTTCACATTCGCTGCGTCCCCCAGAGCAGGGAAGCGGGAGCAGGGAGGCGCAGTGGGCAGGCGCCGGGCTCTCCTATGCCCTGCGGGGAAGTGGAAGGCGCCGGGAGGAGCGGGGGCGGGGTGCAGGGACGGTGGAACTGAGGAAAAGCAGGCCGTGGGGTTATTCCCTGAATGAATCCCGACCCACACATAAGCTGGGGTTTTCCCAGGAGAGACCTGGAGTTAAGAACAGAGAGGAAAAGGATGGTGGGAGAGAGGAGGAGGAAGCAAAGGAGCAGCCCAGGTGTGTCGTCCGCTCTAAGCGCAGCGGAGCTCACACGCCCTGCTCCTGCCACGCGTTGCCACGAGGCTTCCTCTTGCATTGCAGCCTTCCGGCCCAAGGCCCAGCTTCCGCACTTTAGGTGCATAAAGGGGACACTCAAGGGAGTCCTCATGGGGTGGGCCTGCGTCGCATTCCCATGGCTGCGAGATGCCGCAGGGTCACCGAGAGGGCAAACGAGGCAAAGCGCTGTCACCTCCGCAGAGCTGACCCAGCCGCCCTTCCTCCCGCCCGTCCTGCAGGTGGCTCCCTAGCACGGCCCGCAACTGTGCAGGGCGTCCAGCTGCTCCGCGCACAAGTGGCCGCGATCCTGGCCCGGAGGCTCCGCCGCACGCTGCGCGCCGGGAAGAGCACCCTCGCCGACCTGCTGCTGCCAGTCCTCTTCGTGGCCTTGGCCATGGGCTTGTTCATGGTGAGACCCCTGGCCACCGAGTACCCTCCCCTCAGACTCACACCTGGACATTACCAGCGGGCCGAGACCTACTTTTTCAGGTAAGTTGTTTTTGTTCCTTTGATTTCGAAATTATGTCGAGGCAGATTATGAATTGCAATAGCTTCGATACTTTTGAGAATTCTAGATAAAAACTGGAAATATAAATGTTTTCATTATTTCCGAGGTCTGAATTCACGAGGAGATCCTTGGAGAAGCTCTTGCTCCTCTCAGGCTGTCTCAGGGCAGGCGCTTAAGGCTAATGAGGCTGCCTGGTCTCCGAATCCTGAGCCCCTGACCCCTCCTCATGGTGGCCGAGTCCCTGCGCGAAAGGGCGCAAGCTGTCACCCGCCGACCTGCAGAGGGCCCAGCACGCCCTGCCCCACAGGAGGGCGGGATAGACTCCGGGATTTGTAGGATTCTAGAACGTATTAGATATATGTGGTATTTTCACAAAGCCCTCCACAGTTGTTTCTGGGACAACAGCCCCACAGTTGCACACACCTCTCTGCGGAGAAACGTATGACAGCACGGAAGGGATGGAAGCCCTGAGCCTCCCCAGGCTGGGGTCAATTGAGCAGGATCTGTTGCCGGTGCGTTCAGAAGAGCCTGGGTTTTTGCCACCAAATGAATTTACGCAAGAACTCAGAGCTTTCTGGGTTGCAGATTCATACACAAGGGTTGGGAACCTAAGATAGAAACCGATCCCCTAAGTTCCTTTGCCTTAGTTTAGCGGGCTCCTCTCTAGATTCAGGAGAATCTGTGCAGAGTCAGGGAGGCCCGGCCCTTGCCGGGCACGGCCATGGCTGTGATCCAGACATCATTACATTGAACATGCAAAATCGTCTTCAAGGTGGCTACAATTTTTCACATTTGGGATGGGGAGACAAATGACTGGAACTCAGTGATACTAGTTTACAACTGCACAAGCATACTGGCTAGGCTTTTCAACATGAAGACAACTAAGAGGACAGTGTCAGTTCTGCTTTTGTCAAATATATATGCTTACTAAAATAAGCAGCTTAACCAGCTAATCTCTAAGAGCCTACTAATATGTGTGTAATTTTTGTAGTGATGTGTAATTTGGAATTAGATTTAAACAAATACATGGACAAAGTAAAAATCTATGGTAAACTCTTCAGTTTGTTCCCTCCTTGTCACACTCCTCAACTATAAAAGGGCTATCACTATTTTGAGTCTTTTGATTATAAAATATGTTTCTTGAAGAAAATAATACAAAGCACAGGCTAGCCAAAAAATAAAATAAAAAACAATCACATGTAATTTTACCAGAGATATCTACAGTAAACCTACTGGGATAATCTGCCACATGATATACATAATACTTGTATCTACATGCATTTGTATTTGTTATCACAATGAGATTACACTGTAATACTCTCTGTAACTCTTTTACACTCCATAATATCTTTGTATCTCTTCTTATAAATCAGTACAACCACTTTACTCATGAAAACTACAGTACCCTGACTACTGAATGGCTCTTTAGTAGTATGTTGTTGGAGGCACATTAATTTATTTAGACAGTCTCTTTTTGGGGGCATATAAAGGTTTATTTATTTGTTTTTTTTTTCCTATTATAGGCAATGCTGTATAACAATCTTTATTTAGTTAGATTTAGGTGACTATCTACTTATTCTTACCATCAGACATTTCTATTAGAATTTTGGGGGGCAAAGGCATCAGTATTTTTATGGTAGATAGTGCCAAATTACCCTTATAAATGTGTGCCAATTAACAGTCTTATAAAGTCATTGATTCTTTTCTTCAACAAATATTTATGGTGTACTTACTATATGCTAGCTACTGTTCTAGGTGGTAGTTATATGTATAATTAGAACAAACCAAAACCCCTAGTTTTGTGGGAGAAAGGAAGTTCAGTTCTCTAAACTCTAAAAGTTTTGATAGTTCAGACCTGATATTTCATTGCTTAATAGGCAGCTCTTTGATTACTATTGAAGTTGAATATTTTCAAAGTTTTTTGGTTATTTAAAATTTTACTTTACATATTGAATATATTAAGCATCATCTATATATATATAAGTGTATTTCCACATCATATTTTGCTTCTAACTGACTTCTTCACCCTCCTCCCCTCTCTCAACTTTACCGCTTATCTTTTTCTTCTGAGACCGCTGAGAATTTCCCTTCATGGTGTTTATTTCACTGATACCATTTTCAGTTGACTCCAGATAGCCATTCACTTTCTCTACTGCATTGTTAATTTGGCGATTATGTTTTTCATTTGAAAGCATTTTTCCTACTCTCCCAGTATTCATTTGTTATAGAAGTGATGCACTTCAAAATTATTTTGAGTCTGAGAATTAAGATATTTTAATATTTTCTTCTATTTCTAAGAGTTACTATTTTAAATTGAGATATTGGTTTGTTCTCATTTTTCATAATGTTACTTAACTTATGAAACAGAGACATTCACATGTCTGGAGGTTTATTTTCTCATCCTTACAAAGGAGTCCTGCCTACACAGGCTATCGTACCTGTTCCATCAGTGATTGCAAGTGCCCCACTTCTCATGGTTAATTTCTGTCTAAAGAGAAAAGAACAAGCTTACATTTTCTCAGTTTTTATTTTAGTAGAGTGGTAGTTTAGTTAGTTATGAGGAAAAAGTAAAAAGCTACCAGGAAGCATCCACATTGATGGAACATTTTCTTGCTTTTTTGTTATTATCTCTAATGTTTGCAGTGATAGTCAAAAATTAGTGGGCGAGAAGAATAACTATCATCATTTGATCATTTTATGGGTGCTATAACTGCTCTTGTTAGGAATTCTCCACTGACATTCATTACTTTTCTTCTGCATACTGGATCCTCTCTGAGTGTGTACCTTGATTTCTCTGAAGACAACCCCTGTTGTTTTGCATTTGTATTAAACTTGCCTCTTTCCACTCTCAAAAGTGCCCTCTTATGAGTGATAAATGATGTGGCCATTCCTTCGTTATTGAATCTGAGCACCATGATCTAAATCTTGGCACAGGAATGATTCAAAAGGGGCCCAGATTTTCACATCTTATAGTCCTCCTGACTCCCTGTGTACACAGGCCACCCGTGGTAACCCAGCACCCATCCTTGCTGCTCCAAATGTGGGACAACCCCATTTTATAACATCTGTGAGCAGTCTCCTTGGGAAGGCATATAAGATTGCCATTACACTCCCTCTCTTTCTCCTTAGGGTAACTCCCTGTTGATAGATGCATAATTCAGGCCTGCATGTGGCTTTCAAAAATCATGAATGCATTAGCTTTGTGCTGATTTGGAAGATACATATAAATCTTATCTTATTAGTGTTCTGACAATTCTCAATAGAGCCCCATGCTTCTAAAATTTTAGAGTTGAGAAAATGCAATTATATATCTACATTAAATTCACTGAAAATTTCTTGCAGAATACAAATCTTCATAAAAGCACAAACCAGAAGAAATGCACTAGAGAGGTTCTTTTCTACCTGAATCCTTCTACAAATGAAGGGAACAGATGACACCCCCACAGCTCATAGAGGGTTTGAGCTTCTTGGGCCCAAACAAACCTGGGGCTTTGGCAACTCAGTCTGCAGTGTTCTCCAACTCACATGCTTTGGTGGCCAGGTAGGGAGTGAACGCATGACATCCACAGGGCTGTAAAGATGCTTGTTTTGTAACCAGACCTCCACAGCACATTGACTTTATAGACTGTGAGGGAGGAGGAGAAGTATGGAGCATGTCTGTGTTGGTTTGGGGTCTGGTCAGCCATTCATGACCCAGGCTTCTGACTCAGTTTTGTTCTGAATCAACTTGCTCTGATTGCTGTTTTGAGAGTGCTCCAGAAATTCTCCCTCCCCACTAAGAAGTGTGAGAAAAGGGTGGCAGGGCCTCTGTGCCTGTTTAGGGTGGAGGCGAGCAGCACAGAGCAGCCCCAGAGAAATTAGAGGAGGGTGGTGCATCTCTGAGAGATATAGTGTGAACACAGCTGCACCTGCTTGCAGACATCTGAGGCTGGTAAGACCTGACGGACCTGCTCAAAACCTTGAGCAGCTCCATATTGCCCAAGGGATGATATTGCCACATCTTAGCATATCCTACAGGTCCTCCTGGTGCCTCTGCAGCCTCTGCCACTCCCTTTATCTCATGCTCTGAACTTCAGAATGACACAATCATACATGATGTTGCTGCATCTCTCCCTGTTTAAGGAAATGGAAACTACCTTCCTCTCCTCAGTCCTCTGCCACTCCCACTCTATACACTCTAATGTTCCCAGCAAAATAAGAATACTTCAAAACCCGGCTCAGATGCCCCCTTCCAAGGATCCTCTGTGCTTGCTCTCTCATCTGAATGTCTGTCATTCCTGTGTGGATGTCACTGTGGCTTAACTTAGTGCGGGAGATTCTTGCCTTTCTTCCTACAGGGAGACTTCCTGGAGCTTAAGGATCAAGCCTTCTTTATATCTGTACCTTTAGTTCCTGCCAACATGTCTATAAATGATTACTTTCATTAAATCCTTGTTAAATTGAAATAATGAAAATGAAATGTATCAAAAATGTCTTCCAGAAATTAACTTGGACAGGCAGCAGACAAACAAATGGAGCATAGAAAGACAGCTCTCTACACATTAAAAATATAAAATATTTAGGCTCCATGACCTCATCTTCTGGGATGGGGCTCTTAGTCCTTACTAGAGGAGATGGTCCTAAATATACCACTAGTTCACTGCATTAGAAAAACCCGTGAGCCCTCCTTGAACATGGACCTGACCCTGGCCCACTGTCTGCTGAGTTTGTTCCTACCCCCAAACTCTCTCTCTTTTTCTCCTAGTTCTCCAACTAGGAGACCTAGAAAAAGACCTAGAAGGAGCAAGTGTAGGACTCCCAAGTCCTGGTTGCTACACCAGTTCTTTAAGAACCCAAGAGGGCCAGTGGATGTATGTGGCCAGTCGGTGCCCACTGTCACCATCCCCTTCTCCTGTTAGCATGCCAGCAGAAACTGGGTGCGTTTTTTAGTTTTCTAGGGCTGCTATAGCAAAGAACCACAAACTGGGTTACTTAACAGAAATGTATTTTCTCACTGTTCTGGAGGCCAGAAGTCTGAAATCAAAGGGTCAGCAGGACCATGTCCTCTCTGAAGGCTCCAGGGGAGAATCCTTCCTTGTGTCTCTAGCTTCAGTGGCTGCCAGCGATCCCTGACATGCCTTGACTTGTGGCAGCATCACTCCAGTCTCAGCCTCCTGTCTTCATGTGGCCTTCCTCCTGCATGTCTCTGTGTCCACATTTCCCTCTTAGAAGGACACCGGTCATATTGGATATGGTACCCACTCTAATCCTGTATGAACTCATCTAATTATATCTGGACAAACTCATTCCGAATAAGATCACTTTCTGAGGTTCTGAGTGGGCATGAAATTTGGAGGGAAATCATTCAACCCACAACATTTCCTACAACATCTTCCTTAACAAATACCACTAAATTTGACCAATCTCTTGGCCACTTGCCTACAGTAGAATCACTTGGTGTTCTGTAAAACTCAAGCTTTTCTGCTATATGCAGAAGGATAACAGAAATTAAATTAACTGAAGACTGACAGTGATTGTTGGTGTATATTTGTTGGTGTTCTGTCATCTCAAAAACATCCACCAGGTTTTGCAAAATGGTCACCGGGATGTGATAAATGTATACTTCATGATCCAGTGATGTTAACATTCATAGAGAACATCTTCAATTATTTATATTCTTCTCCTCATATATGTACAACTTCCTTCTATGTATGTGGCATCTTTATCACATGAGATAGTAGTGATTGCTTCACTTTGTTTCAGTAATTCAGTGAGAGGACGAATGGAAAGTAATTGGACAATTGTTTGGAAGAAATATAATGAAAGTTATTTTTCTTCTTATTCTTAGTAAATACTAGGATGGACCTAATATATCATCTGTGCTTTTGAGCGGGATGGAGAGGATGTAGCACACTCACCAGCAGGCTCTTGGAAGCCTTTTTTCTGGCAGAATAACATACAAAGTGCTGGCTGCCCCTCTGATCTCATTTCCTGGTTTCCCTTCCCTTGTCTGCAAGGTCCGCCTTCACACCAGGCTTCGTCCAGGTCATAGAACATCCAAACTCTGGACCGACTTTGCATGTCCAGTTGGATACCCCAAGAGCATTCTTCCTCTCAGTCATGGCACAGAAGCTGCTTTCTCAATGTAACTCGCCCATGGTCCTTTTACAGTCCAGTGGGAAAAAACAGATGGTAAATGAAATAGCTGAAACTATTTGCTTGACTTAATTATGTATACATTGTATGGGGACAAAGTCCAGCACTGAGTAGGCATTTTTAAAATGTTTACCCATGAGTGAATATATATCCTTCATGCTCTACCCAACCATGAATTTAGGATGTACTTCATGGCCCCTCACCCTGGGTGAACTGTTCTTCAGCTCAGCCCACCTGAGATTCAGTAATTTGTGAATTGCTGGTAGTCGTACCTCTTAGTGGGTTGAAATTTAAGAAAAAAGAGAGAGAATCCCTGATGACGACATTCTCATTGTGGACAGTGAACTCACAGATGTTGGGTGAACTCCTCAGTTGGCACAACCTAGCCAACTAGCCAACAGGACTGAGAATCCATTTCAGGCCTCCTGGCTCTAATTCTCATTCCACAAACACTTACAAGGCCATAAGTTCTACCCTGAGAAAGTTTACAGTCAAGCAGAGAAATGATCCCTACAAACAGATGGGAAAGTCTTATAGGTAGATACTTGGTGCAGGGGTTGTGCATAAGCCACATGGGGAGATATTTAGGGGTGTCAAAGAAGGTTTTTTAAGGCTATGCCCCCTAAATTGCTTCTTCTGAGATAACAGGTGTTTTCCAGACGTGGAGAAGAGAAAGTTTCTTCTCTTGTACTCTCTCTAAAGGAAGAGTGTGAGTAAATGTGAAAAGTAAGGCAGGAAGTCTAGCAGAAGCCTTGATGGTTTCTGGCAGGTATTACGGTATTATAAGGCATTCTGAGGAGAATTGACATTATCTTGCAAACACAATGCAGGGAGGCATTAAGAAGTTCTAAAGTCTGGGGAGTGATATGAGGGGGATTATTTTTGTAGCTTCCAGGTATGAAGTCTTATTTGGAGCAGTCTATCTGAGTCTCTTCCCCTCATAGGTAACTTTTTCTGTCTGGAATTGTGCAAGATTTCTTCTTTATCCTTGGAGTAAAGGATTCCCCCCCCCCTACTGTTTCCTTATCAAAACTGCAGATTTAAGTCTTTTTTTCAGTTCAGGGTAATTTTTTTGGGGGGTGGGGGAGTACAGGGTCTCACTCTGTTGACCAGGCTGGAGTGCAGTGGCGTGATCTTGGCTCACTACAACCTCCACCTCCTGGGTTCCAGTGATTCTCCTGCCTCAGCCTCCCGAGTAGCTAGGATTACAAGCATGCAGCACCACATCTGGCTCATTTTTGTATTTTTAATAGAGACAGGGTTTCACCATGCTGGCCAGGCTGGTCGCGAACTCCTGACCTTAGGTTATCTGCCGGCCTTGGCCTCCCAAAGTGCTGGGATTACAGGCGTGAGCCACCGCATCCTGCCAGTTCAGGGTAATTTTCTTCTATTATTAATCTAATTTCTTCACACCCATTTTTCCTTTACCTCCTTTTAGAACTCCTAGCACATCTCATGTTAGGGTCTTCCAAATCCATCTTTTAATTCTTTATCTTTCCTTAAGGATTTCTTTTTCCTTTTTGTCCTCCTTCTGTGTGGATTTTTCTTATACATCACTGTTTGTATCTAAACAGTGGCTATCCTCTTACTCAATTTATACCTCTAATATTATCTTCAGGAAACCATTCTTCTTGGTTTGAGAAAGTCCTGTGTAGGCATGTGCTTCTCTGTTTTTTTGTTTTGTTTTGTTTTGTTTTTAATTTTAAAGTGTGTATTCCTGCAGCACCTTTATTTTTCATAAATATTGGCACTGTTTGGGTTTTTCTCTGGTTGCTGGGACCCCAGGACATGTGTTTGTTATTGCTGTTTTGACAGATCAGATAAGTATGTTGCCTATCAACTGGACGAAGTTCCGAATCAAAGCACATTCTGCCTCTGTAGGGCAGCAGCTGGGCTGCCAGTACTTTCTGTTTTTTTCAGGGAGGTGGGGACCTTTGCTTCCTATACTCTCTCTCATTTAGGAATAGAAGGCATCAGCTCCTTTAATTAAGCTTTTTCTTGACTATTGGGGTCCAGCGAGAGAGGGGAGGCTGAGGTCTCTGGAGATTTGCAGGTCTCTGAGGGCCACACCTCCCAGGATGGGTCCTTTCTGGTCCTTTTCCCTGGATGCTCTGCTCCTGTTCTTCACATTGCATTCATATGTGGCCTGGCCTGTAGAGATGATGGCCCTGAATTTGCTTGGCTAGTAGCAAATCCCATAGAGCCCAAGACCTCACCTGGAACCAGAAATTTATCAACACCAAAAGCTGGTTGGATCAGGAGAGGTCGAAAGACTGGAGCTGAGAGTGTAGGGAAGGAAGGAATAAAGAAAGGAAAGGAAAGGAAGGGAAAAGAACGGAATGGAATGGAATGGAATGGAATGGAATGGAAAGGAATGGAACTGAACGGAACGGAACGGAAAGGAAAGGAGGAAGGGAGGAAGGGAGGAATGGAGGAAGGAAGGGGAGAGTGTAGGCTGCTGTCTTCCCAGATGCCCCAGTGTTTCTCAAGGTTGGTTTGATCCTTGTCTAAATCAGAACCACTGGGGGGACTTGTTAACCAGGAAGGCCCATTAGGAGTGTGTATTTGTTCAGCCAAGCTCCTTGGGTCACTCTGGTGCACAATAAATTTTAAGAGATGATTATTAGAGAGAGTGATTCCATTTATGAAGTTCCTCGAGAATCATAGGTAGTAATTTTCAATTTCTAGAGTCTAGTAAGGACAGATGTCAAATGTTTCTAACATAGAGATTTACTTTAAAATATAGCCAGGAGTTTGAAGGCAACAAAAGAGGGATAGTTTAGGAAAAAGCATTTGAAGTTTGTGGTGACAAAGATACTTTTAAAAGAAGCTTGCATTTCCTAATTTGTTAGAAACCTGAAGGCTGTTTATACAGAGGTCACACTGCCTACTTATGAGACATAACTTTGTTGTAAATTTCAGCAAGTTCCATCATTGTGTGTTTCTGGCCACAGCTGTAGGGAATTATATTAGGACAGTTGTAAACCATACGAATATTTTAAAATCTTTATTAAATTTTATGCAGTGGGGAAGATAGTGTTTTTCTGTAAACATTTATTTCTGGATTTGGATGCCACAGAGGTGTTTGCATTTTAAGTTGCTCTGGAAACAAAGTCCTCCTCAGCAGAAATATAATACTAATTTAATGTAATGAGTTGCATTTCTTCTCAATTAAATTTTGTTTTTGTTTGAATGGTAAAAGTTCAGAAAGGGCCAGATTTAGGGAAGTAAAATAATTGGATGGAGATTAAGGATGAGGCCAATGAATTCAGTGCATTGTTAACATATCACAACTTGGTTCGACACATCATTTATGAGACCCTGAGTTCCAACACCTATCCTAAGCATTGTGCCCTTTCCTCAAGGATTGCTTCATTCCAGTAATGAGAACAAGGGTAAGCCTCCAGTTAAACTCCAGTGAAGATGTATACTAAGGCCACCAGGCAGGACAAATGGAGCAGAGGAGGCAGGGAGGACTTATTATGGAATCGGTGTTCCAACCAAGGTTTCCAGGCCAGGCTGGAGATGGCTTCCAATCAAGTGTCCAGGATATTGGAGATACCGAGACAGAGGGATCAGCACCCTCAAAAGCAGATCTGCCCAATCAAACAGTGGTTCTCCTGGTCTGGGCTGCGCTGGCTAGGCTGGGCTGGGTGCCGTGCTCAGGAAGAAATGGTGAGCAACAGGCCCTAGGATTGTGGAGGGATTCAAATACTATTTCAAAACGCATAGGTAACAAGAAGCCATTGATACATTTTGAGCAAAGAAAATGTCAGATTGGTATGTTAGAAGAGCTCACTAAAGGAATTAGAGAAATTGGGAGTCTGTAATGTTCCATTCTATGTGTACGGTCACACTGAACAGTAGCCTAATGAGAAGTTTCTTCTCATTCTGAGCTTACGTTTGTTCTGCAGGATGTGGTTGGAAATTCCTACATTTCCACCTCAGACCTTTCTACATTTTAATGCTAATAGCAATTCAGAAAAATATTTTGGACTCAATTATTTCTTGTCTGAGAACAAAAAATTAATTAGAGAAATCAGTGGTTACAGATTGCTCTGTGGTTGCTTACATTTCTTCTTTCTTTTTTTTTTTTTTTGCATTTTCTGTTTTAAAGCTTTTTTATTGCTCATAATAATTATACATATTTATGGGGTACATGTGATATTTTGATACATGCGTACGATGTATAATAACCAAAGCAGGGTATTTAGGATATCTATCACCTCAAATATTTATAATGTCTTACTTTGGGAACATTTCAAATCTTCTAGCTGTTTTGAAAATAGGATAAATTGTTGTTAACTACAGTCACCCTGCTGTGCTATCGAACACTAGTACCTATTTTTTTTTATAACTGTATGTTTGTACCTATTAACCAACCTCTTTCTCTCCCCTATTCTTCCCAGCTTCTGGTGTTTGCATTTCTTCAATGTAGCTAATGTTTTAAGTTCTTTAAAAGGAGTCACTTATGTATATTTGTTAATTTATATAATAATTCTTTCCAAAAAGAATTGAGGTCACCAGGTATATCTATATAATCTATAATGCTGATTATATACCATTTTTGAAATTTTTGAGACAAGTGTTTGCAAAGATTCTTACTCAAAAAGTATTTTATAAATAATGCAATGTAAGTTCTGAAAAGTAAGAAATCTATACTCTTTTCTAAATACTAATTTAGAATTTTAATTAATTAAATGAGCTCATTCTCATTCAGTCCAATTTAGAAAATCTTAAAATGTCTTTTTCTCTACATTTTCTCAAGATTGTCTTATAATTGAGGTATAAAATTTAATACAGGGTTTGTTTCTACAACTCCCCACAGTGACATGAATAGTGTCTTATTGCTGATGGTGTCTTCAGTAAGGAAATTCAGTATTGGTGGTTTTGGCTTTCAGTAATGCTGCTTGAACTACAAATAGACTTCTGAGATGTGTGCCAGTAAAATTTAATGTGTACTTAAAGCACACATAGGATTCTGTGTTGAGGACCTCTGTTAAGAAAATGTAGCTCAATGTAGCTCACATATAGAAACCAAATGATATTTCTTACATTAGAAATTGTTTTATTTCAGGACTATGTTAATAGAACAAATATTCAGACCAAACTGGAGCTCCAACTTTAAGAGCATAGTTTTGCAGATTTTAATATATTAACACAATATGATATTATGTAGCCTTTAAAATTTGTTTTTAAAAACCATGTAAATATGTGAAAAATGGTGGTGTTATATTAAGTGAAAATGTTGAGGAAAATAATGTACTGTGAATGTGAGTCTATAAAAATGCATATCTGATGGCAAAACTATACTTGTAATAAATTTTCCAATTTTATTGCTTGTTTGGCATTATCATAAAAACAGTGGAAAATTAGCTGTATCTCACTTACTAGGAATCATTAGATGGATCAGCCTGACTAGGGCACAATGTGAGGTCAGCAGCTGGTTCTCCATTCTCTGTTGGGAGCCACTAATAATCCCACTTTGTTTCCTTTGTCTCACAATGAACAGCAGCAGTGGGGGCGACAACTTGGACCTCACCCGTGTGCTTCTGCGGAAGTTTAGAGATCAAGATTTGCCCTGTGCAGATTTAAACCCACGCCAGTAAGTGTCAGGTGCTCTCTGCAAAAGTGAACACTCCCAACTGGTAATATTGTAGCCTGGGAGGACTGTTTTTCTTCATGATTGGTTATTTCATGTCACAAGTTTATGTTATAAAAAATGAAAATTAGCCTAATGACTAGGTTATTACTGAATGGGCCTTATGGGTATCACCATATAAAATGATCCGAAATAAGCTTCATAATTACCCCCTTTCTCCCTTCGTACATGCATGCTTTATATTATTGCAAAATAAATTAATAATTAACAGCATTCAATTTGTTTAATAAAACCCAAAGCTGAAAAGAATGAAGTAGGAATTAAGTCTGAATTATGTCTTAGCTATTATTTACTTTTAGAGAATCCTTGTACATATAAAAAATTAATTATATATTTTTTTAACTTAAAAGACTTAAAGGTCAGTACTGTACATCAATCTGGGGTGAATTACTTTGAAAATGATCTTTTTGGTATTTAATCATGGTTATTGTGATGATCTTTCTATGAAACCTGGATAGGGGAGGCCTTTCTTTATAAACACTTATTTCCCTCTTATTTTGCTCAATTGTTATATATTGAAGATCTACTACAAGCAAAGTGCTGCTGTAGGAACCAAAATTAATACGGAATATGGCCCTGGTCTCAAGGAATTTACAGTTCTGGGTAGAGCAAATGAGGCAAATGATAAAAGCCATAATGATTTATTAAGTGCCAGAAGTGTATGTTTTTAAGTAGTAAATATAAAAATCTAACAATAATACAATATTGGCAATTTGTTTTCTAATTTGCGATGACATATTTTGCCCATTAGTCATATTGGTAATTAGTGTGAGACTGAAAAACTATTAATGTTCTCAGTAAGAAAGAATTAATAGATAATTATGCTGCTTCACTCTAGTCTTTGCAAAACAAAGTAATTTATTTAACTAAAACTTCAATGGTAATGTTTCTATTTTTCTCCTCTCTGATGGAATACACAGGGTGTAAAATATGTCTACCTTTGAAAAATTGAAATGTAACCTAGGGCCCCATGGGGTCCAGCCCTGGTCCAAGCTGGGATCAAAGAAGAACCAGTTAGAAAAAAAAAAATCTTTTATCTAGTCCTTCTCCTTCCAGAGGAAAAAAACAAAAGGTAGAATCAATAATTAAAGGACAGCAGAACGTATTGGACATTTTGTTTGGACACGTATTTTACTTCCAGTTCCTTTTACATGGGTTGCAGTAGAGCCCCAAACTCTCCTCCTCTCCTCTCTCTGTTCCATGAGCTCCTGCCCTCCAGCCCAGCCTGCAGATCAGCCTCATAGCTTTTCTCCTCTGTCCGTTCTTCTTCTACCTTCCTGGATTTATGTTTTTGTGTTCTCCCTTTTCTTTGTGAAATCTACCTAATCTATCCTTAACTCATTTCTATATTTAATCATTTCTATCTATTTTTGTGGTCAGCATAACAAAAGGGTAGGAGGAGAGGTACATGAAAAGATGCTGTGAACACTTGTATTAATAATAATTTATGTCCATGTTATACAAATAGGGCTTGATTCACTAGGACCTCAAATCAGAGCAAAAAGTTTTACTTAAAACCTGTAGATTTCCTTCTGTAAGTGTAAAATATTGTTGAATTTGATGATATCTACATTTTACCTCCTTGGAAGACTTGGGCAATCACTTGATAATTAACTAGAGGAAACATTTTAAAATAATACATTAGATTCTACTGATAGGTTGCTTTTCTGTTGAGATACTCAGCTCTGAGTGTCAACTCAATGGTGCTATGTTGAACTTCTGATTTGTACCTCCCTCTCATACGAAGACAATGAAGAGCTCTAGAAAAATCCACTGTTGTCTAAATCCGATCTAAAATATGAGTTTTCTCACAGTAGTAGGTGATGCATAATTTAAAATTTAAAATGTGTTAAAGTAGTCAACTTTTAGTAGCTGACGGGTAGATATAGATATTTAGCTTTATTTTACAAGGCTTATATCTGGTGGCACTTCAGTGTTGAATTCTCCTACTATTTCTAACACAAAATGGTCACTTTCCTCACCCATTCTTGTTAATGGTTTAGTACAGAACAAAAGTCATAGCAAATCTTATATTTCTATCAAACTTAAAACGCCAAGTGGGGAGATGGATAAGGTTTATTTTTGTAATTAAAAAGAAAGTTATTAGATAGCAGTGATACAATAAATCATCTCAGTACTCAGGAAAATCTAGAAGGCTCATTATTAGCCAAAAGGTGGGATCTTCAGAGCCTGTCATGGCTGGTGACAGATTCCCTCTTAGGGGCCTGTAAAGAGGAAAGTTGAGGCCATGGATCAGCAGTGTAGAGAATGTGCATACCAGGGATCATGATAGAGGGGTAATATAGGACCAGTCTTCCTGAATCCAAATCTCAGCTCCACTCTTACTGACTGTGTGACCCACGCAACTTGCTGAACCTCTCTCTGCTTTTCTTCATTTGCATCAGTGTGCTCTCAGTTCTATAGAAAGAACAGTCACCTCAATGGCAGGGTAGTTCTTGTAGAGAGCTTTTGTTCTCTTAAGGCAAGTTCCTGCCTCAGAAAGCAACTCTCAAGACAGGAGGTCCTTAGAGCTTCTGCCTCTGTCTTCGAGATTTAAAATGCACCTTAGCACTTTGGGGAGGCCGAGGTGGGCGGATCACGAGGTCAGGAGTTTGAGACCAGCCTGGCCAACATGGTGAAACCCCGTCTCTACTAAAGATACAAAAAATTAGCTGGGTAAGGTGGTGCGCACCCATAATCCCAGCTACTCGGGAGGCTGAGGCAGGAGAATCACTTGAGCCCAGGAGGCGGAGGTTGTAGTGAGCCGAGATTGTGCCATTGCATTCCAGCCTGGGCAACAGGGTGAGACTCCATCTCAAAAAAAAAAAAAATGCACCTTAGGTGATTGAAAACTCCAGGCAGCCCTGTAGTAGAGAGAACTATTTCACCCAGTGTGTCCAAACCTGAAGGACCAAATGACCCTCCTCCAGCAGCCTCTCTGCAGCTGTGTCCTGTAGGCCACTTTAGGGAAATGCTTTGCTAAGTCAAAGTGTATTTTTCGATTCTTAAACTTTAAAAGAAAAATTATGTAGAAACTTCTGATTTCTCATAGATCATCCCCTCTGTCTCTCCCTTTTATGAACATTCACACAGCTTCTTAGTGAATCTGTTTGAACACAAAACTTGTTGGAGGCTGAGAAGTGCTCAAAAAACTACCTGTCATGGGTCATTATGTACCTCTCATGGACACCTAGTTTTACTCTATAAAAGGGAGCTAGGAGAAGAATAAGGGAGGATTTGGAAGAGAAAAAGAAGACTTTTTGAAGTCATATATTAAATTATAAACACTTGTTAACCATCATCTAAGGCATCTGAAGGAAGAAAGGCCTGCTGAGTTTCAGAAGTATAAATGGAATTTTTTTTAAAAGTACATATCAGATACAGTACTCTGATTAAATACGTAACTCTCTTAGGTGTTATTTCCATGTAAACTCTTAAGTTTCAAACTGGAGTCCCTATAAGCTAGTCAGCCAACAAAGTGTGGAGAAATCTTTACGTTATTTTTGTTGTTTCAAAAATTACGTAGACATTGTACTTTGCTAACCTGGTTAATAGAAATGGCAAGTTTCTTTTCACTGGGCAAGGCTTTCTTCAATTGGTGTTATCATACTGGCTTTCTCATTGGAGCAGCACACACTTTGCATAGAGCTGGGATCTCGACAGCTGCTTCACCTCTCTGGACCCCACCTCTTCTTCTGAAAAGCAGGGCTAGTAAGGATGGTGGTAAAAATATCTAGCCGGTGCTTGTAATTCGGTAAATGCTAGTTTTCTTCCTCCTTTTCCAATTTTTGAGTAATTAAGAGTAATTATCATTACTGAAACAAAGTTTGATTTCCAAATGCTAGAAAAAATATTTTAAAGTATGGGACTCATAAGGAAATAGAAATGATAGGGAAACTGTGGAATACAAATGTGTTTTTGAACCACTGCTACAAATGGTTTTCATAACTGTTTCTGTTGCACAATCTTTCTGCAACAGAAAGTTTAACCAAAAAGGTTTAAAGAGGAAATTTAAAAATTGTTTTTCCTTAAGTGATTATTGAATTACTGTGTCATGCCACAAAAAGGAATTGACGTCTTGCTGTTTATTAATTGCTTCTTGGTACCTGTTTATGAGACTGCAAGCCTCAGTTTCCACCAGGAGCCCCAGCCGCACCGTGAAAGTCCTAGGGAGCCCTGTGATACACTCAGTACAGTAAGAAAAGTGAGCCCCATGTAATATAATGGAAATGCTGGCGTTGTAATAAAACATTGTCATCAGATTAACAGCTCAAGCTGTGAAAACAAATGTAAGAGCTCTGCCTTCTCGGCAGTGGGAGATGATTATCTTGTGAACTCTGTTCTAGTCTGATGAAACTCTCTTTTATGGAAATACAATGGCTTTGTAAATCTAAAAGATCATTCCAATTCTCTCCTTTGTTTTTTAGGAAGAATTCTTCATGCTGGCGCACAGATCCCTTTTCTCACCCAGAATTCCAGGATTCATGTGGCTGCCTGGTAGGTTTCTGCAGCATTTTTGATCTTTTTAAGTCTAAAATTCAAGTGACAAAAATGAGTTTACCCTATCTATAAAATTTTCATATTTGTAACTGTGTCTTTATAACTTTTTGGTTTCCTGGATTAGCTGTTTCTGGGAAAAGTTTTGTCACATAAAGTGAATATTTATAGAACACAGATGCTGTATAGATTGACAGTGCCCCTCTCCTTCATTGCCTTCTGCCTTTGGTCTTTAACATTCCCCTGGCATTCATTAAGAAAATGACTATTCTTCAAGTAATGATAAAGAAGCTAGAATTGCCCTAAGGAAGGAAATTTTTCTAAATTTCAAGGCAGCATGACCTCAAGGTTCTTGCCATATTTTTATTTGGGCTAGATATTAACAGCTAAGATGCCCCTTAGCTCTCTGACTATGGTTGATTCTTACAAAAACATGTGGAAGTAGGTGTGCCACTATTGAGGTGAGAGACATCACTGTCTAATCTGTGAAGGAGAATAAATTGAAATTTATTTGGAAAACTGATTGGAACTCATCTCAAAGAAAATCTCAGACTCTAATTAATAAAAGGCATAGACCTGCTAGCCACAATCAATAAGCAAGTATGATGACAGGTCTAATTTATAGGAAAAAGGGAAAAGAAAAAAAATATTGAAGTTAATTGAGCATCTGTAATGGAAATGGCTATTTGGAGAACGTGTTTACAGGGCCTTCCTAGTTAGTGGATGATGAGATGCAATTCTCCTTAATAGTTGTCAACCTAAGGGAAGAAACTGAGACAAATTAATATAGGTAGAGAGTTTATTTGAGCCAAAGTTGAGAACAGCTATGTGGGACACACTTCCAAGTTATCTTTGGAAGTACTCTAGAGAACAAAAAAGAAGCTCAAGTGAAATGGCCTTATTGTCTAGGGTGTCAAATGAAGTTATTTGTCTCATGGCCAAGGAAGTCAAGGATGTGGACACACCAAGAGTGAGCTTAGAGCAGAAATGTAATAAGTGAAAGAAAGAGAGAAAACTCTCTGCTGCAGAGAGGGATCTCAAAAAAGCGTTGTCATTTTGCAGTGAAGTGCAATAGTTTTAATAAAAAAAGCTAGCAGGGAAGGGTGCTCCATTTATATAGGGCTCAAAAAACCGGTTAGGACTAGGTGTGTCATTTCCATAAGGCACGAATCCCTGGCAGTCCCCACCCCATCTGTTTAGTGTACATGCAGGTCCTTAGCCTAAGTTACTCCATATTGCTTATCTCCTCCTACTGTGCATGCATTAGGGGCGGAACCCTTTTTATTAATCCATTTTCATGCTGCTGATAAAGGTGTACCCAAGACTGGGCAATTAACAGAAGAAAGAGGTTTATTGGACTTACAGCTCTACATGGCTGGGGAGGCCTCACAATCATGGTGGAAGGTGAAAGGCACTTCTTACATGGCAGCAGCAAGAGAGAGAATGAGAACCAAGGGAAATGGGTTTCCCCTTATCAAACCATCATATCTCATGGGACTTAGTCACTACCATGAGAACAATAAGGGGGAACCACCCCCGTGTTCAGTTATCTCCCATTGGGGTCCCTCCCACAACATGTGGGAGTACAAATCAAGATGAGATTTGGGTGGAGACATAGAGTCAAACAATATTACCCTTCAAGGTGGATGTGCCTGGCCCAGGCTAGCTCTTCTTATCTATAGTGTTGCAGCCATGTTCCAAGCAAGCTCCCCGTGCAAGCTTCCTTATGTGAGTATGTCGAAAAAGGAAAGGAATGTGCTCACTGGGGCCCACTGTATGTCAGTGAAACTTGCTGACTACACAGGAGGCCCCTTTCTGTGAGGGAATTCATCTCCCCATCTATGTTTGCAGCCCGAACTTTCAGGCTGCTCTTTGTTAGAAAATAAATGCCGCTGAGGACCTTGCCCTAACTATCTGCCTAGCCAGTTTCTTCCTTCCTTCTCTCTCATAATTTATTAAAGAAAAAAGAATGAATCAGGAGAGTGGGTGGTTACAAAAGTCGTTTGTCAGGGATTCTCACTGGCATTGTTAGGTTACTTTATAGCTCTGGTGGTGGCACTCAGCCTAGGGTCCATATAGCGAGCTGCTTAGAAATGATTGCTTAGCCCAAGGGGGATGGGGTGGAGTGTGACTGCTATCTCACTCCAGTGCCTCTCTGGGCCTGATTATTTAAAGGGAGCTCACATTCCTCAGATAAAAAGTTTTTTTGTTTGTCTTTTTTCTAGAGATTTTAGAAGCCTTGCTTTTGGAGGAACTAGTCTGCTTTCTTCTCTTAGACGAAAGATACACATGTAAGCGGGAATAGTGACACAGTACGCTTAGTGAGCACTCAGAGTGTTGGTTGATATGGGAGAGGTTTTGGAACTCTCCATGTTTCCCTCTTGGCCCCAGCTGTCAATAAACTCAGCTACATTTGGTGATCCTTTGCAGTGATCAGTTATCTTTTTTTTTAAATACATAATTATTGTTTTTTTTCCCCTGGTCTTGTTTTTCCATTTATTCACTTTAGGGGCAAAGGGCAAATTTCCCTTTCACCCTCTGAAGCTTCACTGAAAATCAGTTGACAAAAGGCAGGTTAACTGGGGAAATACCATACAAATGTGTGAATTTGCATGGGAGGATCACATCACAGAGTAATTACCCCAAACCCCCAAAGAGGTGCAGAAATTTCTATACCCTTTTCATAGGGGAAGGAGGAGATGGGAAATGTGGATAATTCTTTTAGGGACAGGAAATGATTGTTATAGAGAAAGAATGGGCCAGGGAGAGAGAAATTAGGTTCTCTCTAATTAGATGATTAGATGATTAGAAATTAGATGATTCTCCTGGAATTTGAGTGAGCCCGAAAGTCAGGCATTATCTTGTGAAAAAGTCCATCCAAGCATGGTTGCATTCTTCACACTTCTTTTCTGAAATAGATAATGAGATTTCAGGGAGGGGATTGAGGACTTATGTGTTTCCTTTGGTAAGGAGTTTTTTGGTCAGATATGGAAATTCCAAAGAGAATTGGAATGGAGGAGGAACAAGACAAGGTTTCAGGGACCTTGATTCTGAGGCTTATTTCTGAGGCCTTTCAATTGATAAAAATGCCCAGCATGCACAAATGCCATATTTTGGGGGATTGTTTTCTATGCCTCAGCACTCATGAGATCTCTGATTTTTTACACCACGCTCTTATTCTCTAGCCTTGATTTGATCATTCTATTATAGTAGTGGCTTTTAGTACCACCAGCTACCTAAGGCCTATTGGGATTAGAGTGGGTAAATATCAGAATGATTGGTGTTTATGTTCCTAAATTCACTTCAACTCACATAAACTATGAGATTTCAGTAATATGTAAGAAAAAAGGTTTTATCTGAAAAAGTTCCATAGTCAAATACGTTTTGCAAATGCTGGATAAAGCAGTATTAAGCAGGTATCTTTGCCACAGCTCTTCTAAGAAGCTATTTGGTGATAATGAAATTGTCCTTGAATTGACAGTGGAGTAGATGCAGCATTTTCTGCAAATTTGACTGCAAGAGTCCTTCCCTTTTGTGGCAGCAGTGTGTTTCGGGATGCACTTTGAGAAATGTTGGACCACACGTTAGAAATCAGAGAACCTCAGGAGACAGGGAGTTGAGGTGGAATTAATGAAAGTCCTAAGCAATGGGTGTGGCTACTCTTTGGGGTTGTCTCAAAGGAGACGTACACAAAGCTGTGTGGAAGGAAGGCCTATAGACCCAAGGCCAGTTCTCTGGTCTTTAGTGTTCATGTTGAGCCAAGTTGACTGTGTTTTGTTAGAAGGAAAAATATTTCTCTTCCCTTAAATACATGTGTGCTATCCAGCAGCCCTGGGTCTGCAAGAGCATGTCAATTTAATTTTTTTTTTTTTTTTTTTTTTTTTGAGACAGAGTCTCGCTCTGTCACCCAGGCTAGAGGGCAGTGGCGTGATCTCGACTCACTGCCACCTCCGCCTTCTGGGTTCAAGTGATTCTTCTGCCTCAGCCTCCTGAGTAGCTGGGATTACAGGCATGCGCCACTGTGCCCGGCTAATTTTTGTATTTTTAGTAGAGATGGGGTTTCACCATCTTGGCCAGGCTGGTCTCGAACTCCTGACCTTGTCATCCACCTGCCTCGGCCTCCCAAAGTGCTGGGGTTGCAGGTGTGAGCCACCACGCCCAACCTGTTTCCTCATGTTTTATCAAATATGCTGTGGCTGTCTCCAAACCTACAAAAAGGTTCCATGGTTAGTCCTTCTGAGGATGAAAACATGATTTGGAAGCGACACCGTTAGAAAAGGCTTAAAGGGGAACAGGAATTGAGCTAACTCTAAAGAACAAACAGGGATTTTTAGGGTCTGAGCTCCAGTGGATAACAACACTATGACCCAAAACATGTCATCGGGACTGAGTGTGGCTTTATACAGAATAGGTGGAGGGCATATTTGTTTCTTGTCGCTGAGATAATAAATTATCACACAGTTGGTGGCTTAAGAAAACATGAGTTTATTCTCACACAGTTCTGGAGGCTGGAAGTCTGAAGTCAGTGTGACTGGAGTGAAATTAAGGTGTCTGAAGACTCTTGAGGACAATCTGTCCTTTTCCTCCTCCAGCTTCTCTTGTTTCTGGCCTTCCTTGGCCTCTGGTGACATTACACACATCTCTATCTCCATTGTCACAGTGCCTCCTCCCCTTCTTTCTCTGTCTAGTCCTCCTCTGCCTCCCTCTCACAGTGGCACAGGTTGTAACCAGCAAAAGGGCCTGGCTGCTCGCTGCTTGTAGAAAGAGGCCAAAATAATAACGAGCTGATTAAAAGTGAGCAAGACTTTTTTATATGTGCCAGCAAGGGGAAGAGCAGAAAGCAATTCCGCTGTAATTTGTGGAGGGAACACAGGGTTTTTTAAAGAAAGGGTTTGGAATGCAGAAGAGGCAGGGGTGGTAGGTTGGGGGTTGGGGAGCGGGGAGCTAGGAGGTCCCAGGAGGGGTTACTTACTCCAATGGTTCATCTTGAATTATTGTTTCATTTGGTGAAGAGGCTGACCCCATCGTGGATCCTGCCAGGTTATAAACTAATCACAATCTTGTAGTTAGTCTTCAGCCGGGAATGGGTTCTGGCCTTGAAGTAATCTTTTGTTGGGGACAGATTTTCAGAGGTGTCTAGTCCTCTGAAACTTCTAAGGAAATATATGACCAGGTAAGTGAGCATGGCATGTGCTTAACAAGCATCTAGGTAAATAAATATGCATAAGGCATGGGGGCATGAAGTGGGAAAGGAAAGAGAAAGAAAACATTTCGAGGCTATAAGTTTATCTCAGAGCTACATCTTGAAACTCGGAGGGGAAAGAGGAAAAGGGAAAGGATAAAACATTTTAAAATGTTGTTTGAGGCTAAACTGCTAAGCAGCTCAGTTACAAGGTGAGTGCATGAGGGTGCACTGTCACAATCCAGGATAATCTTCTGGACTCAAGATCTGTAACTTAATAACATCGTCAAGATACAAAGTAGCATTTAAAGAGTCCAGAGATGAGGGCCTGATATTTTGGTGGGGGGGCGGTCAATATTCAGTTTAATACAGAGGGTGTATTTGGGGACACCTACACGGATAATGGTTAGAATGAGACCAAGGATATTTTCTCATGATCATTAAAAAGTCAGGAAACAACAGGTGCTGGAGAGGATGTGGAGAAATAGGAACACTTTTACACTGTTGGTGGGACTGTAAACTAGTTCAACCATTGTGGAAGTCAGTATGGCGATTCCTCAGGGATCTAGAACTAGAAATACCATTTGAGCCAGCCATCCCATTACTAGGTATATACCCAAAGGACTATAAATCATGCTGCTATAAAGACACATGCACACGTATGTTTATTGCAGCACTATTCACAATAGCAAAGACTTGGAACCAACCCAAATGTCCAACAATGATAGACTGGATTAAGAAAATGTGGCACATATACACCATGGAATACTATGCAGCCATAAAAAATAATGAGTTCATGTCTTTTGTAGGGACATGGATGAAACTGGAAATCATCATTCTCAGCAAACTATCGCAAGGACAAAAAACCAAACACTGCATGTTCTCACTCATAGGTGGGAATTGAACAATGAGAACACATGGACACAGGAAGGGGAACATCACACTCCGGGGACTGTTGTGGGGTGGGGGGAGGGGGGAGGGATAGCATTAGGAGATATACTTAATGCTAAATGACGAGTTAATGGGTGCAGTACACCAACATGGCACATGTATACATATGTAACAAACCTGCACATTGTGCACATGTACCCTAAAACTTAAAGTATAATAATAATAAAAAAAAGAATGAGACCAAGGATATTTTCTAGTAGACCTGAATTCTTGATAATAATTGGAATTTTTTTTAGCAAGAAAATCATCTAATGGAAAACACCATTTTAGAAGGATGTATCTTGATAAGTATGGGGGGTGGTGAAGTGAATTGGAGAGAGGAAAGCTGGAGGTAGGGAAACTTTGGAGGTTGTTATGTTCATCAAGGTTGGCTGATTTATTTATTTATTTTAATTGAGAAGCAGAAGTTATATATATTTGTGGTTACAGCATATCATATATCATGATATATATATAATACATAAAATGATATGATATATATACATATATCATTATATATACATATATAATATTTCATTTATATATAGTATTTCATTTTTATATATATCATATATATCATTTTATATATATATATATATAATCACACACACCCATTATGGAAAGGCTAAATCCAGCTTTTTAATATATGCATTACCTCATGTACTTATTGTAGGGGCACAGGAAAACTTGCCCTTCATCCTCTGTAAGTTTGCTAAAAAATCAACTCTAAAAGCAGATTAATTGGAGAAAAGGCATATGAATTCTTTTAACATGTACAGGGGGAGAATTACAGAGTGATTATCTATCCCCCAATGAAGTTCAGAAGTTTATATATCATCTCAAGTTTACCAAAAGAATAGGGCTTTGGATCCTGGCAAATCAGGTTATGGCGGGAGAAGACGCATTCTGTACTGGGACAATAAAAGATTGCAATAGAGAATAAATGGATCTTGGAACAGACACTCTCTGTTTAGGTATGGTTACATTCTTGGTCTTACAGGGAGGAGAAGAAATAAAACATTCTCCTTGGTGAGTCTAGATTTTAGTTAGGTAAAGAATTTCAACTTCATCCTGTGCTTTGGGAGAGATGGTGGGTAGGAGGGAGGTCAGAGAGACCTTGAAGCTTCTTTAGCTCAGCATGTGAAAGCACCACATTTTGGGGTATTGTTTTCTGAGCCCCAACGTTACTATTTGTGTGCATGTGTTTGTGTGTGTTGAGGATACTTAAAATCTACTCTTTTTTTTTTTTTTTTTGAGATGTAGTCTCGCTCTGTCGCCCAGGCTGGAGTGCAGTGGCGCGATCTTGGCTCACTGCAAGCTCCGCCTCCTGGGTTCACGCCATTCTCCTGCCTCAGCCTCCCAAGTAGCTGGGACTACAGGTGGCCGCCACTACGCCCGGCTAATTTTTTTTTGTATTTTTAGTAGTGACGGGGTTTCACCGTGTTAGCCAGGATGGTCTCGATCTCCTGACCTCGTGATCTGCCCGCCTCAGCCTCCCAAAGTTAAAATCTACTCTTTTAGCAATTTTCCTTTTTCCTTTTTTTGAGACAGAGTCTCGCTCTGTGGCCCAGGCTGGAGTGCAGTGGTGCCATCTTGGCTCACTGCAACCTCCGCCTCCCAGGTTCAAGCAATTCTTCTGCCTCAGCCTCCCGAGTAGCTGGGACCACAGGATTGTGCTACCACGCCCTGCTAATTTTTGCATTTTTATTAGAGATGGGGTTTCATCATGTTGCCTAGGCTGGTCTCAAACTCCTGACCTCAAGCGATCCACCCACCTCCGCCTCCCAATGTGCTGGGATTACAGGTGTGAGCCCCTCGACTGGCTCTTTTAGCAATTTTCAAGGTACAATACATTGTCACTAATTGTAGTCATTATGTTGTACAATAGATCTCTTGTACTTTTGCCTCCTGTTTAGCTGAAATTTTGTATCCATTGACCAACATCCTCTCTGCCAATCACCATTTTACTCTCTGTTCCTATGAGTTTGACTTTTTTAGATTCCACAAATAAGTGAGAGTCTTGCTGAATTATTATGTACAACAATTATTATTCTTTTTAGTATCTTTCCTCAAGCCTTTCTTTCAAGACCCTGAAAGTAGTATCTTAAATGCATATCGCCCTTCTTACTTTGCTGTAGTTCTTTCATGTGTATCTGAACCTAACAGCAAATCCATGCATTTAGGTAAGCCTGTTTTCATTTTCATTTTGCAAATAAGCAGACAAGCTTCCAAAGCTGTAATGAATGTGAAACTGGCCCAAATGTCTCTTAGAAGTAATATTTATGGATTTTCGAATAAACATAGAAATGGACCCTCCCTGGTCTTAAAAGTTGAAACTTACATTTCTCTCACCTGAGTTTCTTCCTCAAGAAACTGATCCTCAGGCAAGGGACTGAAATACGTTAGATCTCTGAGTTCAGAAAATGAGACTCCAGACGTCTTATCCATCATGATTGCTTCCTTACCCCTCCTTCTTTCCTGTTTTCCCATTTTCCCCTCCATATAACCCCCACCAGTTTTAGATGGTTGAGGAGATGGATTTGAGACTTTCTCTTTCATTCTCCTCAGCTGCAGAACTCAGCTAAAAGCTTCCTCCCTGGCAACACTCATTGTTTCAGTGATTGGCTTTCTGTGCAGCAAGACCAAACCCCTGGCATTTTGATAACAAAAGACTCAGAGACAGAGTCGTTTCCTATTTTAATATATCATCTTTTCTGAAAGTGTTTGAGAAATGGAAACAAAGCACATTAACTCTAAAGCCGGTCTGTGGCAGGGCAGAGCACATCATTGCGCAGCCTCCAGTGGCCTGGGTTTTGCGTTGTGTTGATCACCTCCTCCTACCTTGTTAGGTGATTATTCCATGATGCAGAGCTGGTGTTGGCATGCTGGTGAGTCGCTGGAGAAAAGCTGTTTGATTTCTACTTTAGACCCTTATGAAAGAGACACACGCCTTTGAATTATCCTGCTTATCTTCCTCCCACTAGTTGTTTCTGACTCTCTTTCAGGTTCGTCAAATGCAAGATCACCCCAGTGAAAACATTTTTTTTCTTTTTAGTTTTTATAAATCTGCCCAAACTTACATACAGAAAAGGATTTGAAGTTCTCAGATATAATTGACTGCATAAGTCACAGTGGTATTCTGGCATAATTCTCAAATACATGTGACTGAAAGAGATTTTAGAAATTAGAACATATAAAGGGCTGCAGATAATTTATTAAAAATTGAAAGCTAGAGAACAATCACATGTAGTTTCAAGTAATGTCAGTGAACCAGTTTGTGAATTATAAAAAAGTTTGTTTTTATCTTTTTGAAAACAATTTCAGAAGTGTCCAAATAGAAGTGCTAGTGCTCCCTACCTGACCAACCACCTGGGCCACACACTGTTGAATCTCTCAGGCTTCAATATGGAGGAGTACTTGCTGGCACCATCTGAAAAACCAAGGTGTGTTCAATACTCTTGTTGGGTCTTTACTTGTTTGGATTACTATGGAAAACTTATTGTTTTAAATGCTAATGTTCTTAAAAAGTCAAAAATCTAAGACTGACCTTGGTGCTCATAAAAATTCCACAGTGTGTGATGTTCCCCTTCCTGTGTCCATGTTTTTACATTGAAAGTAGACAAATAGTTTTGTCATCTGTTTCTCATCCATTTCTAATATTTAAATATAATAAAGTCTAATTGAATACAAAAACAAACAAAAAAAATTCCACATAGATGCCATGGACCTTAATAAGATTCCTTACTGCTGACTTTCACTCTTTTAAGTGCTGGGGGAAATCCTATCAATTGAGATTTGTCAGTGGCAGAAGCACGAGAGCCAGAAGCTGTTTTACTGCTTTAGGAAATAAGAGCAGATAAGTTTACAGCATGCAAGCTCCACCTCCCAGGTTCAAGAGATTCTCGTGCCTCAGCCTCCCGAGTAGCTGGGTCTACAGGCACCTGCCACCACACCTGGCTAATTTTTTTGTATTTTTAGTAGAGATGGGATTTCACCATATTGGTCAGGCTGGTCTTGAACTCCTGACCTCAGGTGATCCTCCCGCCTCAGGCTCCCAAAGTGCTAGGATTACAGGCATGAGCCGATAGCTTTTTGAAGGTGGGAACTTGTGTGCCCAGAACTTAGAATATTATCTGGCACATCAAAGATGTTCAACCAGTATCTGTTGAATGAATGAGTGTATTCAGTTGAGCCAGTTGGGAATGTGTACTTATTCCTTTGCCTGAATTTTTGCTGAGAGTAGAACACTGTGATAGAAGAGAAGACTATTCTTCAGTCTCCTTTTATCTAGTGAGTGGAAGACAAAATTTATTTAGATAATAGTTAACATTATATTTTTTTAAATGTTAACCCTTTTTTTGAAGTTTAATAGATACAAGATACTGTGCAACTCATGGAGATATTAAAAAAAGATATAATTCCCACCCAGGAAAAATTCACAGAGCTACATAAAGATAAACCAGCAAATAGACAATAAAACCCAGTGTGGTAATTGATAACAATGGATGGAAATACAGGGTATTGTGGGAACTCAAAAGACAAGGAACATCTAACCCACTTGAAATTGTCTGGAATGCTTTCCTAAACCAGACAAGATTTGAGTGAAAGATTAAAGAAATAGAGTAGGGAAGACAAACCAGAGTGGCTCAAAAGATTATGACCACTATTAAGAAATTTTTTTTTTTTTTGAAATGGAGTCTTGCTCTGTTGCCTAGGCTGGAGTGCAGTGGCACGATGTCCACTGTAACCTCCGCCTCCCAGGTTCAAGCGATTCTCTTGCCTCAGCCTCCTGAGTAGCTGGGATTACAGGTGCCTGCCACCATGCCCAGCTAATTTTTTTTTTTGTATTTTTACAAAATACAGAAAAAGACAGGGTTTCACCATGTTGGCCAGGCTGGTCTCAAACTCCTGACCTCAGGTGGTCCATCTGCCTCGGCCTCCCAACGTGCTGGGATTACAGGTGTGAGCCACCACACCTAGCCCAAGAAATTCTGAATAATGGATTTGTAGAGGGAATGACCATTAATTAAAATAATAACAGTGCTGATGATCAAGCCCTACCTGTTACATGGCATGTATTTCCTAACAAGACAGTAAGGTGTGACAAGTACACTTTCTAATGTGGCCAGCCTTATCCACACCTTCTCAATTATCAGTGCCTTCCGTTTTGCCTGGCTTGGGAGCCAGGAAACTTGCATCAGCACAGCACCTGTCTGCCTGTGTGTTCATGTCACAGACCACAGATGCTCAGTTGGCTACTGTCCTAAGACTGCTGTACCTGGTGGGGTTAGTAATGAATACCCTCTGATTAGAAGTCCTGGTGCTCTGTGGTTGAAGCACTAACACAATGTTCATTGTTAACAGGCTTGGAGGTTGGTCTTTTGGATTAAAAATCCCCAGTGAAGCTGGAGGTGCAAATGGAAACATATCAAAACCCCCAACTCTGGCAAAGGTAATCATATTTTTTTATTTTTTTCCTGTTTTAGAAAGTATTTAGGAAAACTCAACATTCAAATATAATTTTGAGCACAGGGTTCAGAAGGACCAGATTAAATCCAATCATTTGTTACTAAGCATCAAGGAAAATTATATGTAAACATTGTCTTGAAAAAAAATGGCTTGTTTTTCTTTAGAAATCGAGGAAATAGGTTTTTGCTTTTTGTTAAGACAGGACTTCACCTAGTAAATATAAAGTGGAGGAAAAAATCTATTTTCAAAGATACCCACAGTTGTCATAATTGGAAATATCACTAGTTTCTTTGCTGGCCAAGGAGTACTTCCATTCATGAATGTAAATGCCTTATCTTCCAGAAGGCTGGATAGATAGGCCTGGAGATGACACAAAGAAAGCAGCAGTTACACAGAGCTACTCTTAGGAGTCCTGGATTTTCAAGCCCTGCCAGGACTATACCTGTGAATTAGGAATGGTCCCCTTAGAATTAAAGAGACTAGGTGGGAGATTCTTCAGCTTTGAGAGAATGAGGACTGGGATAGAGGAAAGATGCCTTGATCCATCAGTAGGAATAGAGAAGTGGTGAACCCAACAGTGAGTTGTTATTTAAGGAAAAAAGTCAACACTACCTTAAAATGGGGAAAGCAGAAAGATTCAAAGCATTCAGTCTCCATGACTGGAGAAATAGTATTGTGTTTGATTGAGAGAGAAATCAGAAAAGGGTAGATTGTGGGAGGAAGTTAAGTCCACTGCGGGAGAGTGAGTGTGAGTTCTTATTAGGATATCAGTATAGACATTTCATTCTGTAGTGTGTGGATGTTGTGTCTACTCATGAGCCAATTGTGGAGCTATGAGAACAAGAACAATCTCCATGAGCCCAGGAAGGCACTCTCTCTCTTCTGTAGTGGGGACTTGCATGGTTCATGTGAACCTGAAGGAGCTTATTGGGATAAAGACATGCACATGTTGGAGGTTTATTCAGTGAAATAAAAGTTCTTACAGGTGCTTCACAATGTCATCCCTGATGAGACAGTCATACTTCACAATGTAATCCCTAAACAAAATTTTAACAGTCATGTATTACGATGTAATCTGGGAAAAATTTCCAGTCATAGTGTGGACGATTCAGGAATCTCTCCAACAGCTGAGGTTTGTTCAAATCTCTTTTCCTTCTAAAGACAACACACATTCATGAAGATTTAAAGCTTGATATGAAAATATCATTATTAATAACTTGATAGAAAAATAAAATGTATTTGCTGACATATATTGGAATACATTATGTGGCCATTATGAAAATATACCTAATTAGTAGAAGGAATCTGTTCATTTCCTCTACAAATATTCCGACTTTTTAGTCTATCCCAATCTAAACCCTTCTTACGTATTCATAGGAGATGGTTGTGTCTTTGCTTTGAAGTGTCTGAGGCACGGACCTCTTGTTCAGTGATGAGTGGCTGGGGATTTGTGTGTTCTCCTCACATCTCTAACTTTTTGTCTTTGTTTAGATGAGTCTTCTGTACTGACATGTTTGAGTGGTGATTGCTGAAGTTTTTAATGTTATTTACGTGTCCTTCACCAGGCACAAGCATGCAGGTGAATTATACTTGACCCTTTGGGGACTGAGCTCCTCTCCAGCAAGCCAAGGAACTCAACATTGTTGTGGGGTGTAAAGGGCAATCTATTATTTGAAATACCAGAACTGCTGGCGGCTGATACTGCTTCAAATGATTGCATTTATCTTTCTGTAATGACCGGCTTTTTCTTTCAGCCCTTAGGCTACATTCATCGACATAGATGATATGATTTCATAGTCCTTCTGAAGGAAAACATGAAAAATTTGCATATGAATAGGCTTAATGTATGGTTCAATATCTTGTAGAATGTCTCTTGTGTGACCTTTATGAGTTCTATCATTCACATCTTGAGTGTTTAGCTTGTTTAATCAAAACACTCTTTAGAACTTACACACTTCAGTTAAAGAAGCCAAACACATTTTCACTTTCGTTTTTTTCATAGTTCTGTTCTCCCATGGAATTTTATATATTTGAATATCCACTGAGAGTTTTTTTTTTCTTATAGCTGCTTAGTTACTTTTTGGAGGGGCTGTTATTCCTGAGATGAAAGGTCTGTTTTGAGGTGTCATAGTATGTTCCTAAAAGAAGATTAATTTCCTATTTCATTATTGGACTTTATCACTTCGTGACTTATGGACTGGTAGGGAAGGAAATCCCACAGCTTATTTCCAGAACACAGCCTAGTTTTAGAAAACCATTCTTGGGAGAAAAAGAAAAAGAAAAAGAAAGAAATAAAAGCTTTTTCTTTGATCTCTGTTAAGTCCTGAATGGTAACTTTAAGATCATCACAAAGTATGCATTTATTACTTAAAGAATCTATAAAACCTTTCTCAAGTAAAGGCCAGTTTATAAAGGAACCGATCAGGAGTTCCAGAACATTTTAAAATCTGTTCCTTGGAACTCTGCAAGTCAATCATTTATTGCCAAAATGATGCTATGTAGCAAACAACTGCAAACCGTTAGTAGCATCAAGAGTAAACATGCATTTCGCTCATGAGTCTGTGGGATTGTGCTGCTGTGGGCTGTGCATAACAGATGGTGCCAGGCCCCACTATCTGTGGGGAATTTGGGATGCTCTTTATCCAGGCCCTGGTTCTACATCCTTGGAATGTTCCCCAGCTCATCATCTGCAATGACCCTTAACTCTACTCTGCCAGGTGCTTCCCCTTCCATTGCCCTCCATAGCTATGTGTGAAGATACTTTAAAATATGCCTTTTGAGTAGCTCTCAGCCTGCTTCCTGCCTGTGGACAGCTGGGTTCTTAGAGCTATTTACATTTTACATGTATTCCAGCCTGGGGTACCTTCTTGATATAGCTTCCTATAAAGCACCCTAGGCTTTCTAGTTTTCTAACTGAGATCCACAAGCTACTCTCACGATCTTGTTGAGATATGCTGCTCTCTCTAAAATTAATTAGTGGCATTTGGGGAATGCCAGAATACTAGAGGACAACACCCTTTAGGTTCCTAAAAGCCCTGTGTCTCCCTGAGAGAGTCTCTTAGCAGCATCATTCTTTGAAGATCTCAACAAAGTTCTTACAATTGCACCCTTGACTTGATCTTTCTTCTGAGGCCATGTCTTTCAACATTCTCTCAAGAGAGCTCCGTACCCAGGTCAAGATGTTTATTGGGCACCATTTCCATCTTTGAAGTTAATACAGGTGACATTACCCACTGTTTTCACACTGTAATATGCGTCACCCTTTTTTCAATTATTTATAGCAGTTTGTTTTTTATTATTTTTCCCCAGTATTCCTAAATACTTTATCATGTATTTCCAGGCTTCTCAATTGTCTCTTTGTCCCCCAACTTGCTAGTATCAAAAGCAACGCCAACTATTTTCGGTTTTTGGTACAGTAACACCCCATTCCAGTGTAAATCACTATATTGGTACTCTATTGCCACAATAATGCTCTATAACAACAATTTCAAAGCTCAGTGGCCTCCACAATGGATGTTCATTTAGCTCACGGGTCTGTGAGGTTTTGCTAATGCAGACTGGGCTGGGCTGATCTTGGCCAGGAATGAACATGTGTGTGGTATTGGCTTCAGCTGGGATGACAGTGGAGGTCTCAGCTCCACTGTTGCATCTGATGATAGCAGAGGCATAAGGGAGACTTCAGGAACATACATGTGCCTCTCAATTGTGCCACATTCTATTGGCCATAGCAAGTCACATGGCCAAGCACAGCATCAGAATGGGAGGGCATGAAAGTCATATAGCAAAGCATGTGGATACAGGGATGGTGAAGAACTAGGGCCCTTAATACAATCATGAACAGAAGTTTTGGCCCGGTGCAGCGGCTCATGCCTGTAATCCCAGCACTTTGGGAGTCCAAAGTGGGCGGATCACCTGAGGTCAGGAGTTCGAGACCAGCCTGACCAACATGGAGATACCCCATCTCTACTAAAAATACAAAATTAGCCGGGCGTGGTGGCACATGCCTGTAATGCCAGCTACTCAGGAGGCTAAGGCAAGAGAATTGCTTGAACTCGGGAGGCAGATGTTGCAGTGAGCTGAGATCATGCCATTGCATTCCAGCCTGGGCAACGAGCAAAACTGTGTCTCAAAAAAAAAACAAAACAAAACAAAACAAAAAAAACAAACAAACACAAACAGAAGTCTCAGAATCTACAAAGGGTGAAACTAGGGAGGCTGAGCAGGCAGCCTCCTGTCTTTCCAGCTCCATTCAGCCAAAGAAGCTCTGTTTTTGTTTCTGTACTGTAGTGTGGTGTCATTTTTAAGTTTTTTTTTTAATCACTCTACTTTTAAAACAAAAATTAAAATAATAAAACAAATCAAAACAAAATTTAAAAAACCTTAATTCAGGGCAGGGACTATCCTTGTGTCTTCTATTTTTTCCCTAAATTTGAACAGTTAAGGGAATCAAGACTTGGGGGAGAAGGAGGTCACAGACCAGGCTAGTGGGAGGTTCCACTTTCCATAGGCAGTGGGCTTTTCTACCAGATTAGCCTGTCCCTTAACTTCAACAGAATCCTGAGTTTCTATCATTTCCAGAAATCTGGCTAGTGCCTGTGTAGGTGTCTGTGTGTGAGGGGGCAGGGTGGCATGGGGGAGACCCCAAAGGGTGACAGTACAGAGTTGTGTGGGTGGATGACATGGACACACCTCTGATATATGACATAAACTCCTTCAGTTCACTTTTGACTTTTCCATCAAAGGAACTTGGAATTTACCCTACTTTGGAGAATTGTGTCTATGTTGCTGTAGTTTTTTTGTTTGTTTGTTTTGGTCACAAAATCCCACTCTGTTTAGACATAGCTTTGAACACTCACAGTTCTGTAGTTAGTGGGTCTCAAGCTGCACTTCTTCTCCTTGGGGTTTAAAAAAATGATTGGCAAGGATTTCTCTGTGAACTTAAGAAAATATTTTAAAATGAGTGGTGTGAAAGATGAGATCTGCATTCTGAATTGCCTGAAGAGGTAGGCTATTTGAGAAGGAATTGGGGAACATTGTCTTGTGTAGTAGGGTTTTGTTTTTTTTTTTTCTCTTTTTGGTTTTTTAACTATATGATCAATATTTTATTACTTAGCTGTTTCCACAAACACAATAGCTGCCACACAAGTCTCTGGTTAAAAAATAATTAGTTATAGCATGAAGGGGTGGAAAGAAAAGAGATTGGAAGCCCTCAAGTTGGAAGGGATTTGAGATCTGGTCCAAAGTTTGCATAAACTACGATAACTTGAATAGGTTCCCCCAAGCCTTAACTTGCTGTGAGGCAGCGGTAATTCTACCAAGCGGATTATCTGTCACAAAAGGCAGCCTCTTCTAGAGAAATGAGCTGTTCAGTCAATTGAATTAAGACCAAAATGCATCAGTTGGAGTCATCATACTTCTTGAAGACACTCACTTGCTTTTCAAATTAATAATATATTTTCATTTTTATTAAAATATTGATACTTTGAAATATAGATACTGATGGTTTGATTAGTGTTTTTTATGATGCTTCTCATTCCAGCTTTAATAACATTGTCTTTCTCTTATTTTCACCTTTCTCTTGACAGGCATGCTACTTTATTCTCCATGCTCAGCAAATGTTCAGTTCAGTTTATTTTGAGAAATAATGTTCCATGTTCAGTTATTAATTTGAAAGTAATCATTTTTTTTCTGATAATCTTCCACACATTTAATTTGCAGGTCAAATTTCAGTAGCTTACTAACTGAGAAAGAAAAAAAAATGATAGGGTTTGGTTCCTTTATTCTTATAAGAAAATAATTATAGAGCAACATTCACATTTGTTCTGGGGAAAATTAATCTATTTTTAGCTGTAAATTATATGCTGGAGATAAATATAAAATTAGCAGACTAGAATTGACTGCTCACTGTCAGCCATGCAGGAACATTACTTTGAATCCTGCACTCAGGTGCCTTGGAAGTTAATTGACACATACGTTCCTTAAATCCCAGAATAGTTGACAAACAGACTTACGAGCTAATTTCGTGAGAGCCATTAAATTATCTTTCTTTTTTTAGGTGTGGTATAATCAGAAGGGTTTTCATTCCCTACCTTCCTACTTAAATCATCTAAACAACCTTATTTTGTGGCAGCACCTACCCCCTACTGTGGACTGGAGACAATACGGTAATGTTATTTTTCATGCATTGTAATTCACTACTTTCAAAAGACAATGTTTTTAAAAGTGAAAGAAACAGAAAAGTTTCTGAATAGAAATGTGAGGGGCAATGAGAAGGTTTCTACTTGGCAACCAATCCGTGTCTAAACACAATACCAAGTTGTAGGCTGTCTTTCCCTTTGTGTGTCATTAAATGTCTTTATTTTCTTGAACCTGTAACCTCATCTGTAGGATGAGGGGAACAAAATGTGACTGGAGAGTTCTCTCCTAAAATTATTTTATTCTGTGACTTAATATCTTACAGAAGCAAGAAAAATTTTACCTTTTAAAGACAATATTATATGGAATACTGTAATAGAGAATACAGACTGTCCCTCCTCCTTATCACTGGGAAGATGAACATCACATTTTGATTTATGCTGAGCCCTCAATTCATCAGTTATTTATGTTGATCATTGATTCATTATCTATGCTTTCTTATTTTGGTAAATGGCACAGGTCCATTTCTGGTATCCAGAGTTAACTTACTGGTTTAAGTGAATATTTATTTATTTCACTTAGGTGGGATAAATTATAATTTGTTAATTTAATTTAGCTTCTTTTTTAAAGAAAGGAAAGAAACAAGAAGTATAAGCAACAGGCCATGTCCACCACAATTTATTCACAAAATGTATTTGTTGAAACATTAATTCACATAGACATCAACACTAAACAATTTTTCTAATATGCTCTCACTTTATTTCAATCATACTTTATTTTTCCATATTTATTTTTCCTTCTACACCAGTTTTTTAACAAAGTAAATTTAATTATTTTGTGGCATTGTAATTATTTTGGAATGCTAATAGGTAATGTAAAAGTTAAAAATGTACGTGACTAAGAGAAGTACAAAAATAGTACAATAGTCATACAGAGTAGGGACAGCAGAATAACATTTCTAACATATTTGAAGTGTATCAAGAACTTCATTAGATATTTAACATCCATGGTCTTATCTGATTTTTATGTCAATTTTGTAAGATAGACAATATTTGCCTACTTTACTGATTAGAAAACTGATTTTCAGAAAACATCGCCTATCAGCTGTGGCTCTGAGCAAGGTAATAATGGGGCCATGACTGGATTCTAGGTCTAGCTGATAACAAACTCTTGCTTTTCTACTACATCAAACTGAGATGTCATTCTGGTGGGCATGAATACAGCATGGTTCACAGAGGGGAAGTCATTAACACTGGATCTTGAACAATGAGCAGAAGTTTGACTGAGGTCAGAAAGCCATTCTAGGTCTTAGCAATGCAATAACAATTATAGTGTATGTTCAGCTTATATGGAACAGTCCAGTTTCACCTCATCATAAAGCTGAATGTAGAGGGATAATTGTTGATCTCTTTGGAAAGATTGTTTAAGATCAAATGCTGCTTGGCTTTGACTGACATGATGAAGAGTATGGACTTTAGTAAGCAATGGACAGGCTTTACCAATATGTGAGAATAAGAATGACATAATCTATGTAATATGTTAGGAAGAATGATCTGGAAGCCACTGATTAAAGGGAGAAGACTGGTTGTAATTTAATGACCTATTGGAAGGATACTGCTCACAATTTTGAGGTTAAGGCCAGGATGAATCCAGAGGAAAAAAATGATAAATTTCAGACAGATGGGAGAAAAGATTGAGGCACTAGGGATGGGAATAAAAAAGATTTTAAGAAACTAAAATATAAACCTGAGCATTTTAGAGTTCAGTACTGATGACATTATAAGAAATGGCAGGGAGAAGAGATGTTTTCAAGGAAGGGGCGAGGTGATTTGTGCAGGATTAGAGATGCTAGTTTGGTTCACATACATAGATGAAAATGTGCGTAGGATTCAGAAAACTGGAGAGAAAAGTTTGGTAGAGCAGTCATAGGTAACCTAAGTTCTAACATTAATAACAAATGATAGATAAAGGTGTTGGTAAAGTGAGATCCTGCACGGGTCAGACACAGGCTCAGAACAGAAGAAGGCTATGGGTAGAACAGAGGGAAGAGGACAAAGGTTCTGTAGCCCTTGAGGTAAGAAGATCTTGGCACAGAGGCCAGTGGAGGGCAGAATTTCACATGGATGGGCAGGAAAAATGAAATATTTCAGGGTCATCCAGAAGAAGTAGAATGCAGACGTTTTGCTGGTGACTTCCAGAGGGCTAGTTCAATGGTGTTTCAGAAATGGAAAATTAAAGTAGAAGGAATTAAGCAGAGAGAGGTTGTTTTAAAAACTTGAGACTAAACAGATAAATTCTAATTTGACTTGTTGATGCATCATCATGGGAAAGGAAGGTTTGTGCAATAAATTGGGAATATACAATACATAGCACCACAGGAAGGTGTGTTGGCAGTTATTATCAAAATATTGATAAAGAACTCCCACGAGCAGGGTTCTGATGAAAATATTTCATCACATCCCTTGATGCTTGCTTGTTCCTGTGGGAAATGGACAGAGCTAGAACTATTAGCTTAATACTTAGAGTGAAACAAACCTTGCCCCAATGTGGAACTTCAGTAAATCCCATGAAAACAGAAGCTGTGTCTTGCTCCCTGTTCGTCTCAGCAGTCGCACAGCACCAGGCTCAGGGGACATTCAGGCTATAACAAGTGAATGAACGGATCATTATACTACACGGACAATATATCACACTTCTCATGACAATGGTTTTTGATGAGGTTTCAGCAGATGTACACATTCTAATATTAGAGATTTCTGAACCCTGATGCAGGCCGCTTGATAAGAAGCTATTTTCTTAGAACCCAGGCTGGCCCTTTCTCTCTAGGAGACAGCTAGCTGCTCCTGACCTATCTTCTCAGCCTCATGTCTCGCTTATGGCCCCTCACTTTCCCCTCCGTGTAGCTGGCCTTTGCATCACTGCCCTGCCATCCCTGTGAGCCTGGTAGCTGCATTGCCTCTGCTGAGACTGCCTGTCTTCTCCTGCATCACCTTAAGCATTTCTGCTTAACTTTCTAGGCCCATCTCAGACATCACCTCTGTTGGAATACTCACCACCCCTGCAGGATGAGTTAGTGGCTTCTCTTTCTTCTCCCACAGTTATTTGCTTATGAAATTCATCCATATATTTATTTCTATCAAGCATTCATATAATGACAGATATTTCCCAGACACTGTGTTAGGTCATTGCTGTATTTTAAATGTGTCTCCCAAAAGTCTGTGTGTTGGAAACTTGGTCCGCAGTGTAACAGTGTTGGGAGGAGGAACCTTTGAGAGGTGCTTGGGTCATGAGGCCTCCTCTGTCATGAATGAATTAATGTCAGTGTCTCAGGAGTGGGCTACTTATTGCTGTTGCCATGCCCTTGGACTTCCCAGACTCCAAACACTGTAAGAAATAACTTTTTTCCTTTATAAATTACCCAGTCTCATAGCTGGGCATGGTGGCTCATTCCTGTAACCCCAGAACTTTGGGAGGCTGAGGCAGGTGTATCACCTGAACTCAGGAGTTCGAGACCAGCCTGGCCAACATGGTGAAACCCTGTCTGTACTAAAAATAAAAAAATTAGCTGGGCGTGTTGGTGGGCACCTGTAATCCCAGCTACTTGGGAGGCTGAGGCAGGAGAATTGCTTGAACCCGGGAGGCAGAGGTTGCAGTGAGCTAATATCACTGCACTCCAGCCTGAGTGACAGTCTCAATAAATAAATAAATAAATAACCCAGTCTCAGGTATTCTATTATAGCAACAGAAAACAGACTAAGACAGTCATTAGAGCAGTTGATACTTCACATTATCATTATTTGTTTACATTCCTTTGTTAATAAAAGTGTAAACACTTCATGGAAGGTGTTTATACTACTGATGTTTGTGTTTTCTAAAGTCTTTATTCATAGGTATTCAATAAATAGGTCATTTAAGTGAATTTGCTTTTGCACTATATTTTAGGGTTACTATAGTACATTCCATTATGATAATTACATTCTAAAATAAAGATAAATATGCAGCAAAATATGTACTTGCTTCTTTCGTTATTAGGACCTTTTAAGTTGGCATAATTTTGTTAAATTAAAATATTAAATAAAGATATAAAATAATGAACCTAAGAGGAAATTTCTTTTAATAAGATTAACAGAATAAGTGAAAACAGAAGATTAAATAGAAGTGCTTAAGTAGATAGGAAGGTATCTTCCTCTGATAGAGTAAAAATGAAAAGGGATAAAGTATTATTTTATTTTGTGTTATTGGGGGTGGTTGTGGGTGGTGATGATAGCAGTTGTAAAGGTTAAACTTCTTCAACTACTTATTGAAATTTCATCCAAACCTTGGCATGCCAGTAATGAAATGCCACCATGTGGGAGGAATTAACCTCAGCAATGTCATGAACAAGCCAGATCCATGGTCATTAAACTGTCTGTACATTGGAATCACTTAAGCATTTAAAAAATATTGATTTATGTTGCTTATCCAAAGATTCTGATTTGGTTGATTTGGAGTAAGTCTTTAACAGCAGGCATTTTTAATGTTTTTGGGTGATTCTAATGGTAACCAAGTTTGAGAACCACTGGGTTAAACTGATAAACTTCCCAGCTGATTCATATTCTGACCACTGAAGCAGGAAAACAGACAGAAGTGTAAGTTAGGAGTCAGTTTAGAGATATCCACACTCACCTTCTCACTGCTAGGAAGGAACCTGATGGATACCTGGCTACTGGGTGTCAGGGGAGGACTGTTCTGTATTAGAACAAGAAAGAGCTCTTGACTTTCTTTTCTCCCCATTTGTATATCTCTTTTGGAATCCCCTGGAGGGCCACAACTCATTAGTATGCTGCAAACCCCAGGGAGGAAGGAGAAGGGTGGTGCATGTTGCATGCTAGGATGATGGGACAGAGATGAAATGAACCTGGGAGCAGTGGATGACATGCATGGTAGATTTTCCTGCTTTGCTTTTGATGAAATGAGAAACCTGCTAAAATCTCCAAATCACAATGAGAGAGTATGAGCATGAGAACAGGGGAAAATCTCTGATCTGTAATAGAGCTACTGAATGAACAGCATTGGCTGTTGGAATTCGGCTGGCATCCATAACCTTCAACATGCCCTTGAGAGCTTTGGGTATATTTGAGATATTTGAGAGAGAAGATCTGGTGGTACCCGAGTGAAGGTAAAGGGGCACCCTGGTAAGGGAGGATTCTGAGCAATGCAAAGCACCAGTACTAGCTTGCCCTTGCTGGAATCAGGGAGTAAGAAACAAAAGGACAGCAAAGCCAGTTATCAAACCCAGTATGGAACAAGGACTGATCCCCCAACCACAGAGAGGAGGACATTGCATACCTTGAGAGGGTGTTTTCATGGGGAGCATCTCATGATGTGTTTATATCTGCATAAATAGAGGAAAATGTGTGAACCCTATGAAAGAGAGGATAAAAGATAAGAAGAAAATGCCAGGCTGAGCTGCAGTGTGTTACAAAAACGGAGCTAGCTAAGATGAAGATAGAAATATGAATTTTCATTGGATGCAGTGAATAACATTATTGATTGATTACAAACCTCTCTCCTTCACTTAGAATTATTGACTTAAAGAACAAACATGCAGTATTCTCTAAGAACACACAGGGAAAAGGTGACACAGTAAAACTGATCAGAGGGGAAAAGCTAGAGGAATCGGGTATAGAAAAAAAGCAGATGAATAAGAAAGTAAGAAGGAATGATGTAAGAAGAAAATGAATCGAACACAAAACAAAACAACAAAATAATTCTGTACCAATAGATTGGAAGAGTTTGTCATGATTCTATCAAAATTTATGAATTAGGTATTATGGCAGTAGCAATGATTGATGCACAAATTTGATGAATTTTCTAAAGTTCAAGGATAAAGAAAAAAGTTTTTACAAAGCTATGAGTCAAAGCACATTAGTTTCAAAGGAATAAAAATAAGACTGGCCTCTGACATTTTTTATAATTTCTCTTGAGACTTCATCTTTGACCCAGGGATTATTTCAAAACATGTTGTTTAAATTCTAAGTTTTTGAGATTTTCCTGTGGTCTTTCTGTTACTGATTTCTGGTTTGGTTCATCACGGTCAGTGACCATACTCTGCATTATTTCAATTATTTTAAATTGGTTGAAGTTCATTTTATGGTCAGGATATTGTTTATCTTGAAGCTTCCATGGGTGATTAAAAAAAAGTATTCTACTCTTGTTGTTAGAAATGTACATTATATGTCAATTAGATCCTGTTGGTTGATTGTGTGGTTTTGTTCTTCCATATCTTCACTGATCATTGAAGATTACTGAACCTTCACTGAAGATCATCACTGACACATTTCGTTTGCTGAGAGGCGAGTAGTAAAGTCTCCAAATTGTGGCTTTGTTTCTTTTTTCAGTTTCATCAGTTTTTTCTTCATGTATTTTGAAGCTCTGAGGTACACGTCAAATGTGTGTACACATTTGGCATGGTCACATATTTCTGGTGGATTGAGCCTTTTATCATTTGGGATGATTATATTTTCCTGGTAGATTAATCCTTTGCATATATGTAGTGTTCCTCTTTGTCACTAGTAAATGTAGTTGCTGTGAAATCTATTTTATCTGATCTCAACATAGTCACTCCTTCTCTTTTTCTTTTGATTAATGTTTACATAATATATCTTTCCCGTTATTTTATTTCCAACCTATCTCATTGTGTAAAGTGAGTTTTGTGTAGAGTGTATATTGTTAGGTCATATTTTTTAAGCTGCACTGCCTATCTCTGCCTTTTAATTGGTGTTTGGGAACCATTGCATTTAAGGTAATTACTAATATATTTGGGTGTAAGTCTGACATTATCATTTGTTTTATGTTTCCTCTGTTTCTCTTTTCTTGCTTTCCATGAGTTACTTGAGCATTTTTTTTGATTCTATTATGATTTATTTATAGTATTTTTAAGTATATACATTCATTTAGTTTTCTTAGTGGTTCTTCTAGGTGTTATAATACATATATATGACTTATCACAGTCTACTGATATTGTTATTTACTACCTTGGGTGAAGTGTAGAAAGCTTACTTCAATTTACTTTTACCCTGTTTACCTTTAAAATATTATTGTCTTAAGTGTTTCCTATACACACCACATCAGATGGTGTTCTAATTCTTAGTTAAGTCACCAAATATGACTTAGGAAACTCATGAGATGAACAATAGTCTATTATATTTACTTCTATTTTTAACGTATCTTGATGTTCATCTTTCCTTTTGTAAGTTCTAAGCCTTTTCCTGTTATGATTTCCTTTGTGCTTATGTAACTTCTTTTTGCTATTCTTTAAGAGTAGGTTTGCTAATGAAAAATTTGCTTATTTTTTTCAACTGATACGATCTTTATTTCACCTTGATTCTTGAAAGATATTTTCACTGAATATAGAATTCATGGTTGACAATTAAAGAAAAGCTCAGCACTTGAAAAATGTGCTACTTCCTTTTGGCTTCCATGGTTTCAAATTAGAAATCCATTACTATTCTAGTTGGTATTTTCTTCCTTCTCTCTTTGTGACGGCTTTAAAGAATTTTTTTTGTTGACTTATTAGTTTCTAGAAATTTAATTATGATGTATCTTGGTGTGGCTTTCTTTGGTTTTATCCTATTTGGGATTTATTTAGCTCTTGGATTTTTAGGTTTATGGTTTTTTTTTGCCAAACTTGGGAAGTTTTCAGCTGTTATGTCTTTGAACACTTTTTCAGCCCCACTCTCTCTTTCCCTTTTCTCTAAGATCAGGTAATAAGATTATTAGCTCTTGTATTGTTTTCCCAGAGGTCTCTTTCCTGAGTCTCATTTTTTAAAAAGTTTATTTCTCTATGTTATTTAGATTGGATAAGTTTTATTTTTTTCATCTCGAGTCCATGCAGTCTCTTCTTTTTTAGCTGCACTCAACTGTGGAGCATGTCCAGTGGGTTTTAATTTCTGTCATTGTATATTTTAGTTCTAGAATTTTCATTCATTTTTTAATCATTTATATTTTCTAATGAGATTTTAATTTGTTTTTCATATTTAAGGAAAATTCAAAATTACTTTTTGAAGCATCTTTATGATACATATTGTCAGATAATTTCAACATTCAGTTCATTTTGACATTACCATTTTTTATTGCCTTTTTCAACTGGTAATATTCTGGCTCTTGTTGTGAAGGATTATTTTCAGTTGTATCCTAGGCATTTTGGAAACTGTAATATGTGACTCTGGATTCCTTTTCCTAGCAGGCAAGCCCTCTGTTGAGGAATCATATGAGAGCCACCTAGATGTATATGTTTTGATTCCCTGTGGGCCTGATGACACCACCCTGGCTAGGCAAAGGTAGAGAACTGACTTACACTGCTTTTGTGCAGATGAGTGGGACCAGATCGCCCACCAGCCTCACTGACACATTCATGGCAAATGAGGCACTGACTCATGCTGTCTCATTGTCTCTAAGTGAGTGGGGGAGTAGAGTCTGCTCCCCATTGGGCCCTGATGACGCTGGGGACAGGTAGTGAAGTACCAGCTGGCTCACTTTGAAAGTATTCTTTAGTCTCATCGAAGCCAGATGGGAATGGATGCTTGGCATCCCTCTGTGCCCTGCTGCCACTGGGGTGGGGGCAGTGGTGGAACCAGGGTACTGAGTAGCCGTATTCTGCACTTCTGGGTTCAGTCTCATTGCTGTCAGGTAGATATGGAGGCTCAGCTCTTTGTTGGTCCCTCATGACATGAGAAGTAGAGTGGCGGCTAGCCCTGTCTCACTCTGCTTTGTGAAGTCTCATTGCTACCAGGTGGGGATGGAGTCTCAACTTGCCTCAGGACCCCAGTGAGAAAACCACTGTGCCCCTTGTCTCTGTCAGGTGGGGAGTGGAAGATTCACTACCCAATGGGCCCTGCTGAAACCTGAGATGGTGGGGACAGTTTTGCTGGTGGTGTTTGCCTAGAGTAAGGCAGATATTGCTAAAAAGTAGTTCTTTTGTTAGACCACTCTTTTCCGGGTCCTTGGGTTTTTTATTTTTGGGAGCCTTTCTTATTTGTACTTGTTGAGTTTCAATTTGGAGACTTTGGCAATGCCTTGTTCAGGATATATGTGAGGTGATAAGGAAGCCAGAATATTTACTGTTGTATTGTTGAAGTCTTATAGTCTCAGGGCACCATCATCTTGTTTGCACCCCAGAATCTTCCTATTTCTGTTTGTTGTGTTATGTCCAGCAGTTTTTTATTGTAAAAATGAGGACTTGGCAGAACTGGGGCTGCTCCATCTAGGAGGACTATCTCTGACATATTAGCCACAACCTCAAAGGCAAAGAATAATAGAATAGCACCTATGGAATATGGAAAGAAAAGGCTATACTCCCCACATTCTGTACCTAGTGAAGATGTTTCCATAAAGTACACAGGCCACAGAGATATGCTCATATAGAATGTGGCTCAAAAATATACTGTAGACATATTGTCCATTAGAAAGAATGCCAGGAGGTAGTTATTTGAGATATTAACTGAAAGGAAGATCATGAAAATATTGAATGCACACAATGAAGAAAAGAACTTGGGTGAGCACCGGTTGTAGTGAAGGACATAGATTATGCAAATGTTTGCATGCATGTGGTGAAAAATTAATGGAAGATCAAGAATTACCCATTAAACTGAAGATATGTAATATAAAACTTAATAATAATGCATACATGTAGAGAAAATTCTCAACAGAATTAAGATCCAAATGCAAACAGTGATTACTTCTGATTGGTTTTGGATAGGATTATAAGTTATTTTAATTTTATTCTTTACCCTATTTAAAAATGTAAAACCCTTCTACAATTGGCATCTATTACTCATAGAGTAATAATTAATATTGAGAAAAATACATTTTTTCAGGATAGATTGATGAGGAAGAGAGAGAGAAAGTCATCAAAACGCCTTGTAGTCAGAAGAACGCATATATTTCTTTTAATAGTTTGTTAGATTGAATTAACTTTTTACTCTTACATATTTCACTGATATCTCATAATGAATTAATTAAAACAACGTAAACTTTCCACATATATTGATGATAAGACAAGTTTTTCCTTTTGGTAGATGCTTACAGACATCTGGGCATTAATACTTCTAAAGATATACATTTTATAGGAGTAATGAACCCGAAAGTGAGTACTTGAATTGGAGACATCTTAAGTATCTTGCTATCATAATGGATATTGGACAAAAGCACAGATGTGCATTTTTACCAATGACAAATAAACAGAGTCTGGAAACCATAACAGATGTAGCCATAATGAGAACACTAAATGAGAAAACTAATTTTGTACATTCATACATTGCTGTGGGCCAATTCCTGGAAAGAAAAGCCGGAATATAAATGATAATAACAATCAAACAAAGAAAAATTATTCAAATGTACTCAACATGTACATTTTGAAACGTCATTTCTGAAAACTTGTGAAGTAATGTCGTAAAGACTTCAGTGAGATTCTTCTACTCAATTCTGGTGTTGAAACTATGCCCCTTTTACTTAGGAGCCTTGGACCTTTTACCAACATCATTGTCTCAAGATTCTATCACAATACAATTGTTACCTACCTAGAGTACTGAGTGCTCAACATACAATGAAATCTACAACCCAATTACAGAGATTGTCCATTGCAATAATGTGTTTTTTACAGCAAGGGTATCAAAGACTACAAATGATTTTCCTAGTCTCATAGGAAATTGATCAGACTGGTATCCAGAAAATCAGGGTTGTAGTTCTCACTCTGGTACCAATTATGCTTGACCTCAGATAAGTTAGTAGAGTAAGCTTATGCCTCAGTTTCCTTACCTGCACCCACTCACCAACCTTGGCTACACTTCCTCTACAGTAGGCTCCATCACGTCTCGTAGGATTCCTCTTTATGAGACAGGGCATAGCTATCCTCTCTTTCTTTGGATCCATGAAGAGAGTTCTGCTTTCTAACGTTTTACAATTTTAAAGAACAAGGGGTATCATGGGAAGGTGCAGGGTAGTGTGAGGGTGAGCCCATGCCGTTGCAATTGCTCCTACCTGCTGCTTTTTGCTCAGGGATCTAGGACAACCAAGGACCTTAGGTAGGAGAGTAAGCTTCCACCTGTGTCTTGTTTGTTCTTTCTTTATTCATTACTCTTATTTTTGAGAAAATATCCATTATTTATTTAAGTAACTCCAAGTCCATCTTCCTTTTTGAAAAATAAGAGTAAAATCTTTTTAGCACCAATTTAAAGATATATTTGCTTGATTTTTAATGTATGTTTAATTCTATGCAGCTGCTTTCAACGAATGACTATGATTCTAAAAACATCTAATGTAGTGATTGATAAGCTAAATTGCAAGATAAAAATGAAAAGTTCACCCAGTGTTCCTAAACCAAAACATTGCATGGGTTTCACCCTGCACCTCTCTGCCACCCCTCCAGTCTTCCCACTGAAGCTCCAGGGCAGCCCTGTAGGACTGTACTTTCCTTGCACTCCAGCCCTGTGCTGGGGTATCCTGTGCATCTGGAATCTACCTTTCCTTAGAAAGCTCCCCGACTTCCTCCCACCCTGCTGCACCCAACCTCTTAGGTGACCTTACACAGGACATAGTCCTGTGAGTGGGCTATAGTACCCTCACCATGGTGTGTCCCTCCCATCAGACTGCTGCGGCATAATGGGCAGAGAAAAGATGCGTGTTGAATGAATTCTCCGTTCTGTGAAGGAAGAGGAATCAAATCTCTATTTGACCCTTGGTGAAACTCAATTACTGTCCAGTGCCCCGGTTTTCACCACCAAAATCATAACAAAGTCAGAACATTCTTTAACCCTTGGCCTGACAGGGGCAGGCTGTTGTCTTATAAAAGCTGGTGGTCAATGTCCAGTGGAGGGAGGTGGGGAGTGAACTCAAGACTGACAGCAGGTCCAGGGTTTTCTCTACTTACTTGATGACATTATTTTCCTAAACACTGTGGTCTAAGCCCTCTCATTCTCTGTGTATTAGCTTTGAAAGATAATTTTTTAATTTCAGAGTAAAAACATGGGAATGTTAAGCCCCAAAATGCTTAGGAATTGTCCAAGAGCTCTGAGCACTAAGCAGAAAGGCCCCATTCCAAGGCCATGAGGATTCCCTAGAGCGCCCCATGAGAGGAACTGTAGATCAGTGTGTTCTTTAATAGAGTCTTTAAATATTTACTCTATGACAATCATGTAAATTATAGGACTCTAAAGCCTGTGCCAAATGAAAATCTGTGGCCCCTCTGAATTATTTATGAGTAAGGGACCTAGGAAGAGAGAGGCAGCCACTGTAGTTTGTGGGGGTTCAGGTATTTGCACCAGTGGTTTTTTACTTCTAAGACCTAAGTAGAGACAGAGCTCATGGAAGATTACAGCTATGTGCAAAAAATCGGAAAAGGCAGGATGGCTGCCATCAGTGGGCTGTCTCCTGAAGTTCATTACGTGAAATTTATCAGCTGCTCTCTTCTGCTGTCATAGTTGAGGTTTTCATTTCTATGTTATGCTGTCATTGGGATCCATTGCGGCTCATTGTAGAGGCAGGATTTTCAGTGCTCTGTATGTTAGTAGGTGATTTGATGAGAGAGACACATACCTGTGACTCCAGACATGTGGGTTCTGCCTGTGTCAGGAGCAGGTTCTAAACTCCAGGAAAAGTCACAACATTCCTCTGATTCTGTTTCTGCTTCTGGAACACAAGGGCCTGTCCAAGCTAGACCACTTCATGGGATTTCATTTTCCTAAAAGAATCTATAATTCTAAAATGCTGAAAGCTGACTTACAAAGAACTGTGCATAGCATACTAGCTTCCTTAACACAATTTCACCATCAGATTACTGAATGAGAAAATGTATTATGAAAACTTCCAGGAGAGGGTCTGGCACGTTGGGGAATTACTAACTACAGGAGCAGTCAATCATTTCACCAGCGAGATGGGAGACCAGATGTACTCTCGCCTCCTAGATGAAAACCCTAAAAGAATGACACAAATCCAGGAAATGTGCTAAAATGAAGGGCAATAAATTCATAACAGAAGAACTAGGATACAGAAAGCAAATATGAGAACACTGTTTTTAATCTTTCAGCAGTGACTGTCATGGTTTAAGGTAAGAAAAGGTATTTATGCGACTTGATCAAATAAAGATCCAACCTTGGTAGTTTAATATTTTATTATTGAGCTCCCCACAGAAACAGCAGTGTTCTTTTGGCAGCTTTTCACTGAAGAATGAATAGAACAGAGGCCTTCAACTTCCAGCCCTGTATCCTTCCCACTGTATGGCTATAGTCTTAGGAAAACCAGACACGTGTGCTGAAGAAGGGTGTATGATATGCTGGCAGGGAAATAGTTGTGGTGTCTGCAGACTAAGGCCTGAATCTCAGCTGTGTCATAGCTGTCAGTCTATAGGAACATTTCCTAAATATCTGTGCTTCAGATACTGCTTCTGTAAACAGGCATAATAATTCTGATGTGACATAGTTGCTCTATCAGAATTTATACAAATAGTCTAATGTCCTAAATAGCATACAGCACATGGCTACAGGCTAATTTTTGTGTATTTCTGGCTACCAACTCTTTCTCTCTGCTCACAAGTTTGAAAGGACTTAGAGTTTGAGATTTTCCTCTCCTCCTTTTTGCCCATCTTCATACTCCTGAAAATTTAATTAATCCTTTTTTTGTGAGGATAACTAAGATCTAATTTCTCAGCAAATGTTTAGTATGCAAAACATTATTAACTGTAGTTGCCATGCTATACATTAGGTCTCCAGAACTTATTTACATATTTACTTATGTATGTATTTATTTATTGAGAGAGATGAGGTCTCACTCTGTTGCCCAGGCTGGAATGCAGTGGCGCAATCATGGTTCACTGCAGCCTCAGACTCCTGGGCTCAAGCAGTCCTCCCACCTCAGCCTTTCAAGTAGCTGCCACTACAGTTGCATGCCACCATGCCCTGATAATTAAAACAATTTGTTTGGTAGAAATGGGGTCTCTCCATGTTGTCCAGGCTGGCCTCAAACTCTTGGGCTTAAGCAATCTTCCTTCCTTGGCCTCCCAAAGGGCTGAGATTACAGGTGTGAGCTACCATGCCCAGGCTTTATTTATCTTATGTCTGGAATTTTGTATCCTTTGACTAACATCTCCCCATTGCCTCTTTCCCCTGGCCTGAGGTGACAGCCTTCTACTCTCTCTTTCTGTGAATTTGACTTTTAAAAGTTCCACACATAAATGAGATTTTGCAGTGTTTGTCTTTCTTTGCCTGACTTATTTCTCTTAACATAATGTCTTTCATGTTCATTCATGTTGTCTCCAAGACAGGATTTCCTTCTCTTTTGAAGCTGAGTAATGTTCCATTATGTGCATGAATATCTATCTTATATTTTCTGTATCCACTCATTTATCAACAGACACAGGTTATTTTCATATCTTGGCTATTGTGAATAATGCTGCAATGCACATGGGCCTGCAGATATCTCTTCAAGATAATATTTTATTTTACTTTATTTTTTGACATACATCTAGAAATGGGTTTGCTGGAGCATATGGTAGATCTATTTTTAATTTTCTGAGGCACCCCTATAGTGTTTTCCATAAGGGCTGTACTAATTTACATTCCCACCAGCAGGATAAAAATTGTGATAATCATTTTGTAATGTATACATATATCAAAACATTACATAGTACACCTTAAATGTTTGCAATTATTATTTGTCAGTTATACCTGAATAAAGCTGGAAACAAAACAAACAAAATGAAAGCAATAATAATTGAAAACCAAGGAAATTAAATTCAGCGTTGGACAGACATGAGGCAGGAGTGGGGTGTCAGCAGGGTTGGACAGGAAGCATAAGCAAATGACAACATATGCCTGCAGCCATAGAGTTTGGGGAAATGATAGCAATCCAGCTTTTCAAATGGGAGCAGTGGGAGAATACAAAGATTGGGTTTCACTTTAAAGGAGATCTGTGTCTAGGTAAAGAATATGGGCTCTATATTTTTCTATTTCTTTCTGGAAGTTCTCTAGGCTTTCTGGGTGAGGGATTCATGAGTGTGCGGAGAGGTGAGCTGAGCAGGGATGCACATGTTTGTGAGTGAGGCCTGGCACTGCGAGGATGGAGTTCACGTGAAAGTAACAGGACTCGGTAACTTCTTGGATGTGTGGGGTGAAGAAGAGCAGGGAGATGGGGAGGGCTTAGTGTTTTTTGAGCCTGGGTGACTGGGAAGATGATGGGGATATTTGCCCCAGGGTGTGTGTGTGTATATTTAGGTTAAACAATTTCAGTATTCTACTGTGTTCCTCAAATAATATAATTCCAAGACATGTACTCAGCTAACCACATTTCTCTGGATCCTCTTAATCCAGAGTGTTCTCATTCTTACGTAGAGTCTAGAAGAGCACACAACATTGCAAATATACTCCACAGCACCAGTGGTCCACGGGCCATACTTTGGCAGGATCTGATACTTTATAAACACTGTCTAATGTCGCTTGGCTTTTTCTGACCTCCTGATAAGGTTGGTTGACATTGGGCTGCACATCAAGTGAGAAGCTCCCTGTGAGTCAACACTTTAGCTAGGAAGGACAGGACTGGCAGGCCCCATGAGGTGTAGGCTAGAAATAAAGCTTGGTGAAAGAAAGACACATAGGAGAAAGACTGGTGGGTGTTATTGGTCCAGACAGGTGAGGGATCAAGACCACACAATTCAGTTCATGATGAATGTGGTAAGTCCAGGATCCAGGAAGCGATGCAGCAGGTGTCAGGCACACACACTGCGAGCCTGGACCAGAATATCTGGACAGTATTAATTTATAATCAAAATTTATTCTGGAAAACTGTACAGTGGATTTGCTGAACCAACAGCTCCTACTGTTGTTGCTTTTATGAGCCGGAACTTGCCTTAGTACGTGGCTGAGTTCCCAATAGAAGGAAAAAAAAGGCTGGCATAGCTGGGGAGAAGAGCAGGTGGCAAAGGGACAGAAGTCCAGATGCCTGGTCGCAAAGCTGTTGGAAGTTTGGAGCACTGTAGCCTGTTCCAACTCTGTACCTTTTTTGTAGGCTTACTTATACCCCATGATGTTTCAGTAAGGATTTAATGTGCTCTCATAAAGCAGTGCCGATAAGATAATACCGATAAGATGAATTAAAATACAGGTGATAGTATAAATTAAAATACAGATGATAGGGTAAATTAAAGGCGAGCCAAAAGAAAAATAAGCAAAATCTAGGACTGGCAACATGAAATGGAGCAAGGATTTGTGCCTTTGGTAATGGCCTCCACATACAAGCCACACATTTGACTCCAATCACTGACACAACCAATTAGGCAAAGGAAATCTGATTACTCTCACAGTCCACAATGTCCAAGATAAAACACGAACCAACTTTATTTATGGAGTTCTTCTTAACACAATATTGACTAGAATTTCTGGGGAAGCACTGTCCCACTCTGTGATATTATAAACAGCTCTTATAATAAAATGCTTTTAATTGATAAGCTGATGGCAGTTTCTTCATTTTGGCCGCTGGCATCACACACATGCGCAAGCCCAAGAAAGCAAACAAAGCAAAACAAAACAAACAACTCCAAAACCAAAATTGGTTCAGTGAAACAGTCGTTATCTATCTATCTAGATGTGGCTTGATCTAGAGGTGAATATTGATCTGATTCATATCAGATAGTCTTCTTTGCATATTGTTACTTAGCCTGAGTATGTTTCCTCTCTGCAAACATAGGCTATGGGATACTTATGAGGATTACACAATAAAACATGAGAACCTATGAACATAGGGCCTGTCATGTAAAGCATGAACAATTCATGCTGGTTATGTTTGACAACAACAGCAATGACAGAAATCCCAGCACATATTTGCTGAATTTCACAATGGAATTTGCCATTTTTTTCTGCTAATTGACCAGGGCCTGGGCAAAGCAAGCAGGATACATTGTGATGGCACAGGGAATCTGCGTAGCCTGTAGATGAGCTGCGATTCACCATGCAGGAGCAGGCTGAAGGCTCACTTTTCAATTTGTCTTTCACAGGAATAACACTCTACAGCCACCCATATGGAGGGGCCTTGCTGAACGAGGACAAGATGTGAGTTGATGGAATGCTGAGGGGTGTGTGACCCTGACTATGGAAGAAAATCTTTGTGTTACTTAGGGATGACTTTGGTCTCTCTTTTGCATTTGCCCCAAGAGATGGCTTATAGAGTTAGCAGGAAATGCCCACAGGACTTGGGCATTTCTTTGCAAAGTGTGAGAAAAACGACTATTAAGAGAGTCAGTACATTGACTGAGCTTAAAACAGATGAGTTTGTCATGCAACTGTACTTCTAAGCAGAAATTCTTCTAAGGGAATGATTTACCAGAAACTTATGGGACTGTACATCTTCTGAAGAGTTTTCGGGGTTAAAATCATAAACATTGCATTCATGTACATAAACATAGTAACGCCTCCTTGAATATTTCTCATGCAAGATTTTCCTCCTGATCCAGATGGAGACATGGGTGGGGATAAGGCCAGAGCTCTTCAGGTACAGAATTCTGTGTCAGTTCTCACTGTCTTTGTAAAGGGTAGCATGCTTCCACCTGTCTTCTCTTTTTCTCCCCCATCTCCCTTCTCTATTATATGGTCGACAAACTTTTAATTAAAAGTCGATAATAAAAGTGGGTATTTTTGAAAAACTTTTTATGACCTACCAAATTAAGTCGCAGAATGCAAATCTGCTTAATGGGCATTCTCTGCTCAAGTTGTTAATCTGGCAGGAACCGGCAGGAAGCACCGGTTGGGTTGCAGCTTGTCCTCACGTTCACTTAATGATTTTCAGGGTTCTAGCTTTAACAGTGTCTGACACCTGCCAGAATTCCAAGAGTAGGCTAGCTGACATCTGTTGTAGAATGCGACACGATGGAGCAGAAGGCATGGCACAGCAGATGACTTGTGCTGAGGAGTTCCATCGTGTCGGCCTCCTGAAAGACCATCTGTGGTCTGACTGTTCCTAAAGGAGTTGAGAGGAGGCAGCAATTGACTTGAGTAAAAGTAGTAGTGTTCCAGGTAAAACAATTACTAAGAAAATGTACAGTGTATAATATTACAGAGCACCTCAATCTATTGCAAAATCTTGTTGGTATTTCATGTGACTAAATTCAGAGATGGGCCAGTGCAGTGTGGAGCTGTAGTGAAGGCTCCTCTCTGGCAGGTGCTACTGTATTGCAAAGCAGTCCCTGTGTGGGCAAAGGTCACAGCTTACCCGGATGCTGCTCAGAGGATATCTTTCATCTTAATTGGGAGTCAGGCTCAATGGTGAAGAGCAGATTTTGACACAAGAAGACTCCGAAATGCCCTCAAACTGTGCTCCTCAGTTTTGTCTTCTGTAAACTGAGCTTAGTCATCCATGTCTCAAAAGGTGGCTGAGGGGATTTAATGAGGGAATCCATGCCCTTAGCCAACATGCCTGGCTGATTATGAATTTTTAATTAGCAGTTTTCACTGCTGTCATCATTGCTGATTGTTATTAGCAAAGAAGGCTTGTGTTCTTCGTCAGGTGCCTGAGAGCTGCTCTGTTCCACCCGCAGCCTGGAGAGCATCCGTCAGTGTGGAGTGGCCCTCTGCATCGTGCTGGGATTCTCCATCCTGTCTGCATCCATCGGCAGCTCTGTGGTGAGGGACAGGGTGATTGGAGCCAAAAGGTTGCAGCACATAAGTGGCCTTGGCTACAGGATGTACTGGTTCACAAACTTCCTATATGACATGGTAGGATTTGGGAATGAGATTCTGTGTGCCTCCACAATAGTGATCTAAATAGTGCGTGTATGGAGGGATGGAGGGGGGCATTGGGGCCCTGGCTGCCTTGGAGTGTCCACAAAAAGGGGTCATCTTATTGATAAGAGCATTTCAGATTAAGTCACCTTTACTGATCACCATAGAATTGGTTCATAAGGGGAAGACTGATAAGCTTCAGGCTGGAGAACTGGGAAATTATAGAACTTTACAAAGATGCAAAGTTTCTTATTGAGAAGATGAGAAAATTATTACCTTTACTATGCTCTTTTCAATGGGGTAGCAGATGAGGTGATAAAAATCATTAGAAATGATCTTTCATCTGCATGCTTAACACCCCCTCCTGTGAGACCTGTGCCTCATTGCCTAATAGGTATGGCGGGTATTATTAGCATTTTTGGAATGCACTCAGTTTCCCAATGGAAACCCTCCAGATCAGTGTCTGCCATCCTGGGGGACAATAACAGATGCTTTGTCTAGGTGTTCCCTATTCTTCAGGACATTTATCTTAAGTAAAAAAAAGCATCTTATATGATAAGTTGTTCTTAGTGGTCAATATCTACTGTCATTGTTCTCTGGTGGAGCTGTCTTTATTTTGTAGGAAAGTGATATCCTTGCCCTCATACATATGATTCATCTTGTGATACAGAAAATCATACATAAGTCAGTGGAAGGCCGGAGGTCAACCATTTACTGAGCACCTTCCATGCACTAGGTGCTGTCTGAGCTGTGCTACACCAGGCACAAATTTCCGCATATTAACATGTTGCTTTCCTGTAAGGTTTATTTCTTTGAGCTGGCTTAGAATTTAGCTAATTTATTTTCTTTTGATCATGTAACTTGGATTTTTGTTTTGTTTTGAAAGTACAATTTATCGGGGTCACACCTAAGTTACCTAACATTTCAGGAGTTCATTTAATTTAATCAGAGGTTTCCCTGAACCTGCCTGGTGATAGATATCACCTGGGACATTTGGTAACAATAAGGATTCCCAAGGGCCTATCCTTCGAGATTCTATTCAGTAGGACTGGGGGGACTTGGAGGTCTGTGTTTTACTAGGTACTCAAGGTGATTTATGAATCTTAACCAAGATTGACAAATTCTGGGTCTTTAAACCCTTATCTTTACTGAGGGACACTTGAAGGCAGGCAAGTGGAAGTGACTTGTCCAAGATTTTACATCTAGTTGGTACAGAGATGGCTTCTCAGTGCCAGCCTCTGTCTCCTGGTCCAGTTTTGTTCCCTGTGCTACACACTGCTGCTGGCTACTTGTCTCTCTGCCGTCTGTCATTTAACAGTGTCTAAGGGCCACAACTTTCCCAGATAAAAGGGAAGAAGTGTGTGGCAAGAGAGAATCACAACACACAGGGGGCCACGTTTCTAGGACACCATGGGGCTTTCAAAGTCTCCAAAACCCCAGGATCTTCCTTCTTTTCAGCACCCTTAGTTTATTATCTCTTTATGCCTCCCACTCAGTCTGACTCTTCTTTACTCTGTGATGTTTGATCTTGGTGATTAAGGACAGGAAGGGTTTCTTGCTTCTTGCTTGGATGGTTTTCCATCTTCATCCAATCATTCTCTGCTTATTCTATTCAATCACTAATTTAATAAATATTTTTGAGGATCTGTTGTGGGTCAAGGTGGGTCCAAGGTTGCTATAGACTAAATGATTATGTCCCCCCAAAATTCATGTTGACACCTAATCCCCAGTGTGATGGTATTTGGATGTGGGATCTTGGAGAGATAATTAGGTTCTGAGAATGGAGCCCTCCTGAATGGGATTAATGGCCTTGTAAAAGAGGCCGCAGAGAGCTCTATGTGAGGACACAGTGAGAAGTCACAGCCTGAACGAGGAAGCTGGCCCTCGCCAGTCACCGAATCTGCCAGCACCTTGATTCTGGTCTTTCCAGCCTCCAGAACTGTGAGCAATAAAGTTGTGTGGTTTATAAGATACTTGGTCTGTGTTATTCTGTCATAGCCCCCCAAATGGTGTTGGGCATAAAGCCATGCATAAAGCAGAGAAGATTGCTCCCTCAAAGAGATTCTTATGAGAGGAAGCAGAAAAACTAGTAAACAAACAAATAAATAAATGCGCAGGATACAGTTGGCCATGACTGGGTCTGTTGAAAGAATGAAAGAGATTGATGGGATGGAGGATGACTTCAAATGTGAAGGTCAAAGAAGACAGTGAAACTTTACCTGAGATCTGTGAGGTAAGAAGGGGCCCTGCCCATGGATGACGTGCAGGAAGAGGTCTGCAGCTTGAGGCTCTAAGAGAAGAAGGAACCAGGCGTGTGAGAGCCTGAAGGAAAGCCATGGCTATTGTTGGCCTGCAGGGAGCACCTTAAGGTGAGGCTGGATAGGGAGGTAGTGTGAGGAGCCTGTCCTTGGTTCTACGTGTGTGGGAGGAGGCTGTGTTTCATGAAAGCTGATTGGATTCCTTGACCCTCCTCAAAGGAGATGGATATGCATGACAGTAGTAGTCACCTCAGGCCACCATAACAAAATACCACAGGCTGGGTAGCTTCACCCCGGAAACTTGATTCTCTCATTGTCCTGGAGGCTGGAAGTCTGAGATCAAGGTGTTGGCAGGGTTGATTCCTTCTGAGGCTTCTCTCCTTGGCTTGTGGACAGCCATCCTCTCCCTGTGTCCTCACATGTCAGCCCTCTGAGAGTGACTGCATCCTGATCTCCTCTAGAGACACCAGTCATGTTGGATGAGGGCTCACCCAATTGACTTCATTTTACCTTAATCACTTGTTCAAAGTCCTGTCTTCAAATACAGTCACATCTTGAAATACTGGGGGTTCAATGTATAAATTGTGGGGGGGTACAACTCAGATTAAAACAAGCGACTTTCCAGGACTAATTCCACGGCTACAGAACTCCTAATGTGCAAAATAGGAAATATATTTGTGAAGTTGAAAGGAAACTTCAGGATAAGTAGATGATAATAAATATGACCATCTGATGTAACAGCTCTCCCTTATTTCTTTTTATCTTCTCAGCTCTTTTACTTGGTTTCCGTCTGCCTGTGTGTTGCCGTTATTGTCGCCTTCCAGTTAACAGCTTTTACTTTCCGCAAGAACTTGGCAGCCACGGCCCTCCTGCTGTCACTTTTCGGGTATGTGATGAGAAACGCTGCTGCAGAATTACGGTTTGTTTTCTGAAAGAGAAAACCCTCAGGATGGCTTTGAACCTGCTGTCGACTTCATGATTTCCTCTCTTTTGAAGCAATTATGTTGCTTCTGCAAGGGACACGGAGCAAACAAGCCTGAGCAGGATGATGAATGCCCCGTGGAGGAAGGAAGGGCTGACCTGGTCGTGATGAAGACAGCACTGCCCTGTCTCAGACAGGCCCTTGAGCTGTTTGACAAACTTGTGCAGCTGGAAATGGATTCTCTATTATTCTCACTTTGACATTAATCAGGGGCTCAAATACATAATCCAATTAACTCGGAGATTGCATTTGTGGAGGTTCTCTCAGCAAGCTCTCTGGCATTTTTTCTCCTCTCCTCTAATATTAGTAGTTTGAAAATGTTTTGTCTAATTTCTATCACTTTTTTTTCAGATGAAAAAATAGCAAATGGAGAAAAGTCATTTTATGAATTTCTGATTTATGCATGCTAGTCAGGATCATTGCTAGTGGCCTCAAAATTATATCTATCCGGTATCAGGATATATATGTCTTCTTATTTGTCATGCACGTATGCTTATATACAGGCTAACTACATAAGAGATGCTTAGTAGGGAAAATCATTATCATACTAATTTATTATACTTCAAGGCTATTTTAAAAGATAAAACAGCTTGCTCTTATTTAAGAGGATTACAAATGAAGTGATTTTTACAGTTTGTATTTATATAAGTGCCCTAGAATTATTCAAAACATCTAATTAGAGACAGAGTTTTACTTAAACAAATATATACCATTACTAGATGATTGTATAGGTGGGTGGGTGGATGGATGGAAGTATGTAGATAAGAGAAAGAAAGATAGACAGGGAGAGAGAGATTAACAGAGAGAGGGAAAGAGACACTAAGAGAGAGAGGGAGAGAGAGATTAAGAGAGAGAGAGAAACAAGACAGACAGACAAACTTTTGGGGGAACATTGATATTACTACTCACTAACCCCAATGCTGTAGCTTTGGTAATACTAATTATTCTGTCTAATCCTCAGTTTTTTCTTTGTAAAACTTCATGTCTTTTGCTATAAAGATTAAATAGTTTATATGAATATCATGGACAATGACTGGTACAAAATTCCCATTAAATTAATTTTAGCCATTATTGTTACTCTTTAGAATTATTTTACTCTTTAGAAGATGTAATATCCTGAGCTATAAAACATGCTTATAGTAGACATATATTTATTATATTTAGCTAGAAATTTATGGACTTGTGTATAAAGATCTATGTGTGTGTACCCAGCTCTAAGAACACAGTTTGATTTCAGTTTATTGATCCAATTGAATGGATAGTGTTGTCATGTCTCCCTCTATTTCAAGTAAAATAGACTTTGCTATAAAATTATTTTTGAATTTTAGGAGAGTATATCTCAAAAACTGAGTTAAAACTTAGATGAAATGGTTAGAAAGCCTTGAAAACACGCTTTTAGAAATTTTTATTAGTTGTTTTGATTGTGAAACCCTTTAAGAATTTGAATTAAACTAAGAATTCTCTTCATACATAACTACCACATTTTTCAAAGAATTTCTGGAGATTCACAGGTCTGTTGAAGCACAATCATAGGCAATAGGGGTTACACGCTTCTGGTTAAGAACTCTTAGGTTGCAGAGACTGGAAAGATGTCAGAGATAACTCAGACCGTGTTTGTAATCATGGCTAATCCCAGGGAAGAAGAGCCCCCAAGGAAAGTTTATCAGGGTCACTGGGTGACATCCATGGGAATGCAGATTTAGAAGGTAGCTCTTTCTTCATTGGAGCACAGCCAGTGGAACTGGTGACAACCTCCCCCGCCACTGTAACAGGAGGGGCAGTGAGAGACCCGGTCTGGGGAACTGCTGTCTCCTGTGTGCCTGGCAATCTCTGGGTGAGGATAGCAGAATTGGCTCATGCCTGCTGTCCTTCTAAGGACCTATGGGTACACGGAGCCCAAGGGCAAACTCAGGAAAGCTGAATCCCGAGCTGAAACCTAAGAGCACGTCCAGGCATTAAATGGCTGCTTAAAGGCAGGAATCTGAAGGAATAAGGGATAGTATACACGAATTGATTCTTTTAAGAGATAACAAGATAAACATGCCTAATCGCAGTCTTATTGTTTTTCTTCTTTCTATCAAGGACAATTTGTTATTTAAACTATAAAAGGGAGAGTCAGGGAGAATTAGCATCCAAAAGAGGGAAGTAACACCTAAAATGAATGAAAGAAAACAGAGCCTAACTTACATAAAGATGGAAACCTTAAGAACATATTTGATGTATATTTACCGCTAAAAGATGAGATTGCAGAATCCTGCTTGGTGTCTTGGGAAATCCACAAAGCATGGGGAAGCGGCCGATTTTCAAAAGGGGAATTTTCTTCCGCCATAAATTCCATGATGTTGTGAACAGTAGGCCAGTCTCTAGCAAATTTTAAAATCATTAAAATGATATTATATTTTAATAAAAGCCTGGAGATTGTTGAAATTCATTGTAATTTTCACAAAAAAATAAATATAAGCCAATTTCATTTTTTTCTTATAAAATAGGAGACGGGAGCTGCTAATACGTTAATTTGAGCCAAGTATTTTAAAGATAACTAATGAAAATGTAGTAAAAAAAGTGATGGAATCATAGCCCGTTGAAAACCACACTGGAATACTCTTCATTCATCTAGCAATAGGAACTCTCATGTGGCTTCATTTAGGACAATGTCTCTGATTCTTTGTTTTTCTTAAATAATGCTTTGATCCACTTGTCAAATATTTAAATGACATAACCCAACATGGAAACCTTATGTAATAAGTAACTAGATACAGATCCTGAACCATCTCAAAGGAAGTAGAGCCTAATGTTGAGGTGGTAATTAGTCACTCAAGTGCAGATCAGGTATGCAGACTCCACAGCAAGACCGGGAGGCTGCTGTACCCTTAGATTGTATTGCTGGATGTGGAGATGCTGATCAAAGCAGATGATAATCTTGCTGTGTGTTGTGCCAGGCCAACCACATCATGTTCTCTGTGAGGTAGCTTTACCTAAACTCCCCTAAGTCCCACAATGCAAAATTTAACAGAGAGAGCTGGTTGAATATCGTGTTGTTAAAGGAGCAGAGAAAGACCCAGTCTTTTGTAGTGGAGGTTTAAGCAGAATAACATGGCTATCCTCAGCTATTTAAAGGACTGTCACATGGAAAAGAAAAGCAATTTGTCACGTGCTGTTCCAGAATATAGAGTTTGAATCAGTAGCTATAAGTTGGAGAGAGTTTTCATTCACTCTTAGAATGAATTTTATAGCAATTACAGCTGCCCCAAAATTTGGCTCACAAACTTCTACTACTGCTTATATTTCTGTTGCAAAAATACTTGCAATTCTGTGATTTCATTTGATTCTCAAAACAGTTGCGTGAAGGAGTGTAGCACTTGATTTTTGTCTCAGAAGGCACAGTAAAGGAAAGAGGGTAGGTGTGTGGTGTGGGTGAATATGTGTTGGGGTTTGAATTCTCTCTGTGGTAGTTTATTTCAGACAGAGATGTTGATAATGTACAGCCCTAAGAAGTCATGACTTATCTCTCTGGTAATTATTTTGATTTAATTAGTTGATTGTCTTATGTAGCAACTGTTTTAGAACAGCTCTTGCCTCCATTGTGTGCTTTGAAATAATTAATGCCCACATTTTGAGGCAGATTGCTATTGAGTAGAGTGTCTAAAACACTATATGATTTTATATATCATATTATATATATCTTATGAACTATGAGAATGTATCTTTTAACCCAGGAAAGCATTCCAACATCATGGATGTCATATGAAAGGGGGTGCATACTAGACTAAGAGTTAACTTGAGGGCCTGGCATCTCTTATATCATTTTGAAGTCTCATACTTTTCAGAACTTGTTAACATATTAGGAAAACCTCAGACATTTTGCAGGCACTGAAGTGTTTCAGGTTAATCCAATTATTCACCATAAGAAAACAGTGATACATTTACCTTGAGTGAGCAGAGAACTTGTTGGAGCTCCGGATATATGAGAATCTTTTGGGAAAGTTGTGATTCAAAATCAGTGACTTCTCTGCTGATATTAGGAACCATCGTTCAAAGTGTACTTCCTTTATTGGGTGCAGTGGTATTATTTCAGGAAGGAGATGAGGGAAGTTGCCATGAGTGAAACCTGGCTCTAGAATTGAGGAGACGGAATGAAGAAAATGAGATGTTTTCCTTTTAGGGACATTTGGGTGGTATCTTAGATCCTGATGTCATCTGACACATGTGGGGACTGCTTCTAGGGTTCAATGTTTAGCAATGCTTCTTACTCCCCAGCTTTGGGGCCACATGGAAATGAATCCCATGTTCATCTACTTATCACCTGCAAAGCTCGATCAAGTGTCTGAACTCTGCAAATCCCCATTGTTCTGCCTGTAAGATGACAGTTACAGTGCTGTCTCCTGGCTTGCTGGGGACTAAAGGAAGATTAGGGCACACTGAGGAGTTACAGATGGTACCCCCTGTGCAGTGGATGCTGGAAGGAGGCTTTCAGTTTTTATTTTTAGGCCTTATTTTTTTTACGTAGCTCTGCAGCTTTTTATATTCTTGATATCTTTTGATTCTCAATATAATGAATAAGTATTATTCCTGCCTTCCTGATGAGAAGCAGAGCAGAGAAGCTCCTTTTGGAGAAGAGAGGTTGGAGAAGTCAGCCGACTTTCTCCAGGCCACAGAGCCGACAAGTTCAGGCCCACGTACAACCCGTGTGTGTGTTGTGACCCCATCCGGTGTTCTTTATTGCATTGCAGAGTCCTCTGAAGCCCCAGGAAGAGTGTGTTGTCTTTGAAAAATACCGTGGAATGTATTATGTAAAGTTCATTTCTGTTCACCAAGTGAGGAAAAATTGCTGGGCCAATAAAATTGCATCTATAATTCAGTCTTACGGCTGTCCCCTTATCTGCATTTTTGCTTTCAGAGAATTCGGTTACCCACAGTCAACTGTGGTCTCAAGATATTAAATGGAAAATTCCAGAAATAAACAATTCATCAGTTTTAAAGGGCACAGTGTTCTGAGTAGCAGGATGAAATCTTGTACTGTCTTGCTCTATCCCATCAGAGACGTGAATTTCCCCTTTGTCCTGCATATCCTCACTTTGGACCTGGGAGTCAGTGAGTTACCAAATTGACTGTCGCAGCATGGCAGTGCTTGTGTTCAAGGGACCTTTGTTTTACTAGATGGCCCCAAAGTGCTAGAGTAGGCACGCTGGCATATTGCTGTAATTGTTCTATTTTATACTACTCATTGTTCTTAATCTCTCACTGTGCCTAATTTATAAATCAAACCTTATCATAGGTTGTATGTATGGGGAAAAACATAGTATATGTAGGATTCAGTAATATCTGCATTTTCAGGGATTCACCCCAAGGTCTTAGAATGTATCTGCCATAGATAAAACTACTGTAAATGTTACAGTAAAACAAACATTACTTTTCACTTTACTTTTCAGATATGCAACTCTTCCATGGATGTACCTGATGTCCAGAATCTTTTCCAGTTCGGACGTGGCTTTCATTTCCTATGTCTCACTAAACTTCATCTTTGGCCTTTGTACCATGCTCATAACCATTATGCCCCGGTTGCTAGCCATCATCTCCAAAGCTAAGGTCAGTAGCTTTGTAGCATCACCTCTACACTTCTGCACCTCTAGTGCAAAGACGGTGTTAACTCATGCCTCTTTTGTTGCTTTTCTGACTGGAATTCAATGGAAATGCATTGGTATCCACTGTCTTTAAACTCCAGAGAGATAAATGGATTCTAATTAACAAAAAACACATTGCCGTTATAAAAGCCATGCCTAGGCTTAGCAACAATTGACGAAAAAATGTTCTGTTTCGGCCACTCCATTCTTGAGGGTAGAGCCATGAAGATGTTCACTGCCGCATCCCTAGCATTTTCATCAGAGACTATTTATTGATGAATTACTGATGAATGGTGGAAGAGTGAGTCATTGAAACATGCCCTCTCAATGTTCACCATCGTTTGGGTCAGACACTACAAGATAGAATGGGCCACACAACACAGCTGACCATGCTCTCGGGGCACAGCATGTCTGAATGATGATCTGGCGGGATTCTACCCTCTTCTCTGGGATTTCTGGAACAAATTTAATTTTGCTGTTTTCCAAGCATGGCAGCCAAGGGCTTTCCTGAGCCTGAGGCCCGTGGTCAGGAAGAACTTCTCCTTGTGAGGTCAACGCCACTCTCCAATAGGCCGTTCTGATTAGCAAGTCATTTCTTAAATGTCATCTCCAGCTGGTGTCTAGGTCAAGGTGAACCCATTAGTCCTGCCACATTCCTTTCACTCCTGTCTCCTCCCTTAGTGAGGCCTGCCTGGGTGTTTGCCTCTGCTTTAATACATCTTTCAGCCCCTCAGCATCCCCAGTGCTACCTGGAGATACAGACTTCAGATTTTGCACTTTCCTCTGCACCCTTATTGCAATCCTTTTCATTCTGTTTTCTTTTCTCAGCTCTGACCACACTATTCTCTCCTGATTCCCTGCTGCTTATATGGAGTCTGATTCCTCAGTAGTTCCCAAATGTTTGGCCAGCTCAGGGGCTGAGAAATGACCTGGAAAAGGTACTGAGCTCCTAGTTTTGAAGCATGTGCTGCAGTTCTCATTTCAAATCAAACAGGGACTGATGCCTATTTAATTGGGATGAGTCTACTTCCTCATGGCTGGACTTTCAGAGACTTAGTAAATTTGCCACTGATAGCTAACATTAGTTTTTATTACTGTGCTTCATATTTGGATAGAAGCAGTGAACTCTGTAAACATCTATTATGCATTCAGTGATGGTAATAATCTATTTTGGTGATTTTTACAGATTTATTATTGACACTGATTTATATTAATATGTCTACACTTTAAAGAGAAAACTTGCAGAACCATTGATTGGCTTTAGCTTGAGGAGAAAATTGAAATCAGTAGAGATAGTGTACAATTTCCCTCCTCCCTCATCGGATCTCTAGCATGACATGAACCATCAGGATGTCAGTCATGAATCATGGTGAAACTGAAAAGAGACTCACAGTAGATAATCCTATTGGTGAGGAACTTGAAAGCAGAGAGCTTCCCTGGGGAGTGGAGTCACAGAAGTGAGATTTAGCTCCAAAAGAAAAACGAAGAAGAATTGTCCATATCCAAAGAGGAAGCTGACCAGGAACCTTTCCACTCATGAGGTTTTACCAGTGTGGCAAGTGGAAAGCCTTGTTACCTTTAATTATAAACAGCATTGCTTACTTGTTAAAAAAAAAATCAACAGGCAATGAAGTGTTTGCCAGAAAATGGATCTAAATCAATTGGTAACAAGTAATTAAAAGCAGCTTATTGCTTTTGTTTGGGTCTTTCTTTTCCTTTGCTCTTTATTTTGATATTATTTGCTTAGGAAGCAACCTTATTCAAATGTTTATTTCAAATAATTTCAAATTTTCATTTGTAGGTTATGGAGCTTTGTAGCATTAATTCTTATAGAATTAATGAAAGAAACCAAAAAAGGTGACTGGATTCTCAGATCACTCTTTTTCTTAAAAAATAAAAATATTTTAAGTTCTGGGGTACATGTGCAGGATATGCAGGTTTGTTCCATAGATAAATGTGTGCCATGGTGGTTTGCTGCACCTCTCAACCCATCACCTAGGTATTAAGCCCAGCATGCATTAGCTATTTTTCGTAATGCTCTCCCTCCCCCACCCCATCCCCCAACAGGCCCCAGTGTGTGTTGTTCCTGTCCTTGTGTTCATGCGTTCTCATTGCTCAGCTCCCACTTATAAGTGGGAATATGCAGTGTTTGGTTTTCTGTTCCTACATTAGTTTTCTGAGGATAATGGCTTTCTTGCTCCATCCATGTCCCTGCAAAGGACATGATCTCCTTCCTTTTTATGGCTGCATTGTATTCTATGGTGTATCCATCTATCCAGTCTATCATTGATGGGCATTTGGGTTGATTCCACGTCTTTGCTATTGTGAATAGTGCTGCAGTGAACATATGTGTGCACATATCTTTGGAATAGAATGATTTATATTCCTTTGGGTTTATACCCAGTAATGAGATTGCTGGGTCAAATCGTATTTCTGGTTCTAGATCTTTGAGGAATTGCCACACCATCTTCCACAGTGGTGAACAATAAGTCTGAATATCTAGTGTAACCAGTATTAACCATTGTGTTTACAAATTATAGTGTTAATTAATCATTTTCATTGTTACCAAATCACAGTTTATATGATGACACATTTTGATTTCAAACACAAGATCTGGAACATCTGTCTTTCCCACTGGTGAGGCTCCCTGTTGGAGCGAGGGGGATGTGGGGGAGCAAAAACTCATGTTTTCTAATTTATTTCTTTGTATAATTATCATTTTCACATAATCCTAAATCGAACACTTATGGATTGTTATTCTGTGAGTTTGTGCACCTGCATCCCCCTTCTATGTATGGATTATTTGTTAACTCAGTGTTCATATATTGCTAACACCTTTGTTCATACTTGTGTAGAGATCATTGTGATTTCCTTAAAAGTAGATGTAAAAATCATCACTGTTCTCAAGCAAGAAAACCTTGAAAGGCAAATACCAGTAGATCTAATTAATATCTCTAAACAAAATACCTTTGTTTTGATGGCTGTCTGAGAATATCAGTGAATAGTTGGGATAGGGAAGACCTGGAACACAGAGCTAACCAAGGAGAAAAAGAAGTTATTGGTATATATTATGAAAAGGGGAATAGCTTTTAATTGGATTTTTTTTCTTTTTTTCACTGTGCAGAATTTACAGAATATCTATGATGTCCTCAAGTGGGTCTTTACTATTTTTCCTCAATTCTGTCTTGGTCAAGGACTGGTAGAACTCTGCTATAATCAGATCAAATATGACCTGACCCACAACTTCGGCATTGATTCCTATGTGAGTCCCTTTGAGATGAACTTTCTGGGCTGGATCTTCGTGCAACTGGCCTCGCAGGGCACAGTACTTCTCCTCTTGAGGGTTCTGCTACACTGGGACCTTCTGCGATGGCCAAGGTGGGTTCTGAAGGACTCATCCTCGAGCTGCACTTACTCCTGCAAAATGAGAGGAAGAGAAAAATTCATCCTGGAGGTTGTAAAATAAAAATTATATCTGATCAGCATTATACATAGTTCTAATGCGTTAAGATTTTATTATTTTTTAAACATTGATTGGTGTCAGTCACCCACACCAGGAAGGAAAATTTCAAAGGATAAGGTGACAAACTGTGAGATGATCTTTCCAATTATTTGTCTCAGCATATTTTCTTTTTTTAAAATTTTTTTTATTGTACTTTAAGTTCTATGGTACATGTGCACAATGTGCAGGTTTGTTACATATGTATACATGAGCCATGTTGGTGTGCTGCACCCATTAACTCATCGTTTACATTAGATATATCTCTGAATGCTATCCCTCCCCTCTCCAACCACCCCACAACAGGCCCCGGTGTGTGATGTTCCCCTTCCTGTGTCCAAGTGTTCTCATTGTTCAATTCCAACCTATGAGTGAGAACATATTTTCACTTTGAAATTGCTGAATTTCTCTGTTACTTTGAAGCAGCTAAGGTAAATTTGGTTAATACCATAACATTATTTTTACAACTAAATGCCAAGAACTCTGGGAGCAGGAAGATAGGAAAATTCAGTACAGATGTCTGTGTGTCCTTTGCTGGATCTTGTTGCTTATGCTGCTGTACTCTGATCTTTGTCAGGTGAGGTCGAAAGTCAGTAGCATGGGGCATGTGTAGACATGTAGATATATAATGTGGTTTATACACATGCATGCACACACATGCATTCCTACTACTATAAATAGGATTTAATGTGGCCTTGAAAGGATATCTGAAATATTGTCAGATAAAACATTTGAACTGCATAAGGAAGCAATGTGCTTTCCTGTGTAGGGTCCACAATGGTTGGCTTCCCCCCCATACCCAAGTGGCCTGAATTCATTGGCCTGCTCTTTCCAAGGGCTATGTATTTCCGTCTGACCTCTACTTGAGGGAGGGATCCTTTTTGGAGAAATTACCAATTAAGACCATGTCACTAGAAAATCTATTAAGGATTATAAAGACACATGATTAATAATTTATGGTGATCTCTTCATAGAATTATTTTTCCTTTCAGCCATTTCCTGACATATTTTGTTACATAACCCCTTTTAATAAAGTAAAATAGACACCGTTTTGAGTATAAATCCCAATGTGCTTTTGAATTGGCCACATCACCCTGGAGTCTGCAGATTTCCAATAGCTGACTGAACCTGGAGTAAAATGCAGAGTGCCCTTTAAACATAATTTGTTCTCTGATGTCCCTTACTAGTTTAGTCTATTTTATAAAACTGTAATGTAGGATCCCCCTTGGCAGATTTCAGGGTACTCCATTTTCCTATAGTATCAAAAGATTTTTCTTTAAAGAGAAAAATCTGTATTACCTTTACTTTCTAGAGTTGTAAGTATAAGTTGAATTGTATTTTAGAATAATATCCTTGTTACCCACAGTAAAGAGTCAATTTTTTTCTCTACATGAAGGTTACAGAGCATAGAAATTTAAGTGAATTTAGACACTAGTTGCCTACTACCATTTTATGGATAACTGTCATAATGACTGCATGACCCAGTCAATTTACTTTTAAGACCCAGATCTAACTAAGCCACTAATCATTGTTTGAAAGGTAAAGCCCAAGGTTCTTAGCAAGCCCCCCTGAAGTGTGGTGCCTTCTGCTCAGTGAAGGTGTCTGTGATCCTCCTCCCATCCCACAGGGATATTTGTTGCCCTGCCTCTGGGGCTGGGCTGATGCCTTCTCCGTGTTTCTGTTACGCCCTCTTTCTCTATTAGGGCACATCTATGTTGGTTTATGGTATCGATATGCTACTCATAATTGAATCTTGCAAGAAAATAGGGAGACCCTGCCCTGTGCAACTGGGAATGGATAGATCCTGCCTTCCCAGCCTGAGCAGGGCCCCTGTCACCTGCACCCACTGCTGGACATGAGTGCTGAGATCCCACTTCCTTGCTGTCCTTCCCTAACCTGCGCTGACTCCTGTCCAGCTGTCCCACTGTCCTGCTGCTGGCCTTGGGTTGTTTGCCATGAATTCAGGTTTCCATTAGGACCTGAGCCCTAGTTCCTGCCTATTTTGTCTCCTGCCTAGAGCTGCACTTTTGCTGTCTGTACCCTAGGTGCTGGCTGGGTTGGAACAGCCACACTGTTCAGATATGAGATATGCTGCATATCTGGAAAGTTCTGCTATACCTAGGTCCCATCTGAATTCTTCCTATTTAATACAGGGATCGTTTGTTAGTCATTTTCAGTTAGAGGATAACTAAGTGGCACATTTCTGGGCATAGTTGGATTCCTGTATTAGGACACTGGATTGTTGTGAGTGGGTGGACCAGAAGTAAGCTCAGTCAATTGTCTCCACCAACCAGAATTACTTGAAGAGATTTAAATGAATGTGCACACCTGGGCCCCTCCCTAGAACTCTGCAATGAGAAGCTCTGGGGATGAGACCCAGGAGCTGTTCATAAAGCTTCCCAGGTAATCCTCCTGAGGAGAGAATGAGCAAGCTGATGTGGGTTACTGTGAATACTACTCTGCCAGGCAGGAGGGAATACAGTGGCACAACTTCCTGTTGGAGTGGGAAGACTTCCAAAAGTCCAGGATAGGGTGAAAGGTCAATAAACACACCTTCATCTGGGAGAGGGAAATAACATTCAAACAGAAAAGTGTAAAATTCAATGAATTTTCACAAATTGAACACATTGATGTAGCCCCCTCTCACTAATAAACTGAATACTGCCAACACTTCAGATGGCCTCTCATAAACTTCTCCATCAATAGCTGCACCCTAGGTAACTGCAATCCTTATTTTTATTTTTATTGATTCATTTTTCTTGCCTTTGAACGTTATATAAATGAGGTCATGTAAGATAGAATTCTGAGTATCTAGCTATATTTTTCTCATCGTCTATGTTCTCTGTAGAATAAATTATATATTGTCAAATGGTGATTTTATATGTGGAAAAATAATAAAGAAAAGTTGCTGGGGATACTGGGAGCTTGCCATGGATATTGGATTTTATTTTTAATACCTTTTTTATTTTGAAATAGTTTAATAATCAGAAGAAGTTGTAAAATTATTATCGAACATTGCTATGTACCTTACACCCAGCTTCTCCCAATGATAATATAATAATATATTACATGGCAATTTACACTGTCAAAGCCAGGTAATTGATGTTGGTTATGATACTAACTCAGTCGTTATCATTAAAATATAATCATTAAATATATTTTAAATGATTAAATATAATAATTAAAATGTTGGCATATTATAGTTTATAGGGGAAATTGAAATTTATTGGAAAGTTAAATGTGTCAGATTGCAAATTAGAAAGAAGATTAAAAAGTGAGCAGCTCAGATTTAGAGAAAATAAGAGTTGAAAATTAAATTTGCATTCCTCTGATAGATACTTACTGAATACTTTTTGCAAAGTATTGTGCAAAGTGCTGGTTATATAATCCTTTTATGCGATTCAACATATACTATAAACTTACAATGTTTCAGTACTTTTATATACAATCTACATTATTAAATGACTTGTTTAGTAAAAAGCACTTAATAAGTAAATGCCTTATAATAATTTTGTGATAAGCTATTTTAACATTTAGTACAATTAATCTGGCATGATCTTATTCATAAAATTAAAAACTAGCTCTAGTTTAGTGCCAATTCATTTCAGTATCTTTTAGGAATGTATATATTTCATTTATGTTAGACAATAAAAAATGGATTCTTGCCTGATAATCAGGATGGCAGAACTGGGGTGCTCTGGACAAAGCTGACTGCCCAGAAGTCCGAAGGTGATATCTTCAATTTTTTACAAATCTCTGACCTTTTTGCCTCTTCTAGACTATTCTGGTATCATTTGCTAGGTGTGAATTCACTCTGATTTCATCTTCCCAGGGGTCATTCTACTCTCCAAGGCACAGTCAAATCTTCTAAGGATACAGATGTTGAAAAAGAGGAAAAGAGAGTGTTTGAAGGAAGGACCAATGGAGACATTCTTGTGTTATACAACCTTAGTAAACATTATCGACGCTTTTTCCAGAATATTATTGCTGTGCAAGATATTAGTTTGGGCATACCAAAAGGAGAGGTAATGAAGCTTCTATTTTTAATCTTCTTCTGTTGTGAACCTGTACAACTCTAGTAGCTGATCTGCTTGTGTTAGTCTCAGAATATTTGAAATCAGAGCCAAAAATAGCCTTCAAATTTTAGAAATTCCTACAAAATCAGTAGGAGCAGAACCAAATAGAGGGTCTGTTGACTATTTCATAGTAAAAACTTGGCTGATTGATAGGATTTATTTTGTTTTATAATGTTAAAAATTTCATGTGATTGCATAGTTTTAATTATGACTTGGGCTATGGGATAACTTTTTGTTGAGCAAATATTTTTTTGAATCTAATTAAGGAACCACTTTTATCTCTTACTGGGACATCAGTACTCTAAGTGTCCAATTAAGCCCATCTGGCAAAATGCTACTCAGAAAAGGTAAAGAACACTCATCCACCTAGCAATAGCTCAGGAATTTTTGTTCACAGGTAAGACATTAATTCTAGTTATAATGTTTAATCAGAACTGACAGAAGCCATATAAATTGTTCCTGATTTATGCTTAATGTGTAAAGGGAAATCAGTTCTGGAAGTGATTGCCTTCAATTAACTGTTAAAAATAAAAGAGCACCTTGCATTCATACGGTTCCCAGCTCCTGAGAAATTCAAAATAGGTTATATTGTTATCTGATTGGTATCTATATTCTACTTGTGATCTGACAGTAGGTGTCTCAGATATGTGTATTCTGAGGTAAAGAGAAGCCGAGAGATCAATCTGAAGTAATGCAGGCATATTCTTACTCTCTGAACTATGATTTCTGGTAGATTAGAACAAAATGTTAAGAAAGGATTTTTTTTTTTAGTAGTTGTTAGCTTCTGCTCTAAGACTGGCTATGCAATCTTACCCATCTTATTGAACTATTTTTTGTACCCTTGCTTTAAAAATCATGATTATTATAGTTTTGCCGGTACCTCTCCATAGTAGTTTGAGGCAAAGGGGTGTGGGAGGGCCAAGATTCACTGAAAATCAACTGACAAAAGGCAGAGTAACAGGAAAAAGGCATATGAATTTATTTGATTATAGTTTTACGTGATACGAGAGCCTTCAGAATGAAGACCCAAAGATACAGGGAAACTGTCTGTTTTTATGCTTAGGTTCAACCAAGTACGGACAGCCATGTAGAAATATGGTTGGACAAAAAGAGTATGACCCAATTAATGCTATTAGGCTGAGAGGGGAAGCCCAGCAAGGCCTCTCTGTTTAGATGCGCTTTTTTTTTTTTTTTTTTTTTTTGAGTTATTATCTACATGTTTATGATGTTTTATTTTTATTGTTAAAAATTTTATTTTAAGTTCTGGGATACATTTGCAGAATGTGCAGGTTTGTTACATAGTTGTAAATGTGTGCTGTGGTGGTTTGCTGCACCTCTCAACCCATCACCTAGGTATTAAATCCCACATGCATTAGCTATTTATCCTGATGCTCTCCCTCCCACCATCCCTCTGACAGGCCCCAGTGTGTGTTGTTCCCCTCCCTGTGCCCACGTGTTCTCATTGTTCAGCTCCTACTTATAAGTGAGAATGTGCAGTGTTTGGTTTTCTGTTTCTTCCTTGTGGGTGTGGGGCAGGACCCTCTCTGGAATGCAGGTCTGTCTTATGACCTACAGTCAAACAAGGTAGGACAGATAACTTCTTTAGGGGTAATTTTTGTACTGAAAAATATGTAAAAGGGGAGAAGTTAGGGTAATATTTTTGGTTTTATGGTGGCTTTGGGGAAAAGAGGTTCTAGTTTCTATGACCAGCCTCAGGGGAGAAGGAGGGGCCGGAGACAGCAGGGCAGGAAAAGGTCAGAGTAAAACTTTTGATTCTGAGGCTGCCTTTGGGGCCTTCACTTTGGGGTATTATTTTCTGAGTCCCAACAGGGCTAAGAGATAAACTTGTAAAACATTGACAGAATGATGCTCCAGGTATCTTAAATGGTCCAAGATGCCATTTAAAGTTAGATTTTATTATCTTAAGCTCTTATAAGCATTACAGTTTAATTACCTAGATGGAGAGTGCTATGCAAAAGTCTGTGGAAAATACAGAAATGACTAAGATACAGTCCTGTGTTGTTTAACAATGGGGATATTGTCTGAGAAATGTGTCATTAGGTGATTTCATTATATAATATACTTTCACAAACCTACATGGTATAGCCTACGACACACCTAGGCTGTATGGTAAGCCCATTCCTCCTTGGCTACAAATCTATACAGTATGTGCTGAATACTGTAAGCAATTGTAACACAATTGCAAGTATTTGTGTATCTAAACATAGACAAGGTACAGTTAAAATATGGTATTGTCATCTTGTAAGATGACCATTGTATATGCAGTTCATCATTGCCTGAACTATCATTGACTGTATATCCTTCTCCATCTAGAAATTAATAATCAGTTAGGAAACAAAATATCATAAGCATGTACTATGTTACATGGGAGCATAAGCATTGTCCCAAGGCAGGGACTGTGATATAATAATGTAATATTTTTTGGAAGTCACAGCATCATAATAATTGTTATCCTCCCAATTTCATTTTTGTATATATTAAAGTACTTTCTAAAAAGAACTGAAAGGTGCATGAGTGGTATTGTCTTCAATGCTGTCAGTCCAGAGAGGGTGGCTGTGCAGGCAGGGAAGGAAAGGTGGGAGGACAGGGTATGTGGGGAGAGCTTTATTAAAAATGTGGTTTATAGCTAAGCCTAAAAGCGTTGGTAGAATTTGGATAGGCTGATGGTGGTGTACCCTGGAACATGGACAGGGTAGGCCTGGGGGAGACGGACTCATATTGCAAATGGTGGGAGAGATGCAGGGAAAGCGGGGAAAACATGGTAATTGAAGCAGATGGCAACTCATGGGGTTGTGAAATTCAGAGGTCCAAAATAGGGTGAGGTGATGGTTAGGTGGGGCTTGGTGGCAGAAAATCCAGAAGCAGTCACTTTCCAAGATTTGAGGAGCCAGGAAGCCAGTTTGTATCCATAGATCGCAGCTCCTAGCCATCAGAAAACAGCTGTCTTGGAAGGAGATTGACAGAACCAGAGAGACACTGTCACCAAGGTGGACTCTCAGGCACAGTATATGCTGAGGCACATGATAGAGACAAAGTGTAGAAAAGACAGCAAGAAGGCCATTTTTCACATTGGCTGTAAGGCGAGATTTGATCAAGAACTGAGTTGACTCTATGCTCAATGTCAGAATATAGAACGAGAGTTTCTCTTTTAATTAATATCAAGATTAGCTTAGACTCTGAGTTAGGAGTGAATTTGCAGGAATTTACAGGCTCTTCAATGGAAAAAGAAGATATATAAGAAAGCTGTGAGCACTACACACACACATACACATACACAGACAAACACATATGTATATACAGTAGAAGATGGAATCTTTTAAGAAAATACTTTAAAATACACAAAAATGAAATTAGGAGAATAATAATTATAATGATGTGACTTCCTAAGAATATTATATTATCTCTGCATAATTTGGGGGTAGTTGGCATTTACTTCTCATCCTCTTGAGTTTTCCACACATGAATTTATTGTCTGTAAATTACTGCTGAAATTCTTATACCATTCAAGTGCCATGATGATTTTGAGAGGACTTTGTAATCTATACAGTGTTTTATACACTATTGTCATTTTAAAACTCCATAAATAACACAAACCAGCAAAGTCAACTCAAAGTTGGCTAAAAGCAAGTGCTGTTTCTGATATAATTTTGATTTTATTTAACTTGTTCTATTTATTTAGCTTGTTTGATTGAATGTGCTTTACTTAACTTTGTTTCCTCTTAGTGCTTTGGACTTCTAGGGGTGAATGGAGCTGGGAAGAGCACGACTTTCAAAATGCTGAATGGTGAAGTTTCTCTAACTTCAGGACATGCTATCATCAGGACTCCCATGGGGTAAGATACAGATTTCATCATTTTTGTTGCTTAAAGAGATAATAAGCCCAGAGAACCCCCAGCATTTTCCCTCAGTCCCGTGGAATAAAATTTGAAAACATCATTTTCCTCCAAATTTACCTTCCAATTACCACTCCTCTGATGTGGGGAAAAGTTTCCAAATATGAATAAACTGAGCTCAGTACTTCCAGCTGGAGTAAAGGGCCTTGGAGGTCTTATCACAGAGCAGCCAAAGGCAGACGTCCCTGGGAGGTATCAGAGTGGATTGGAAGTGCCCAGCTCCTCTCTGCAGATGGAACTCAGGGGAGCAGGAAATGGCCAAGGGGTGGTTCTTCTTTATTCTCCTCTGGATAAAACTTCAAATGTTCCCATCAGCCTAAGTGGCCAGATGGTTTCCCTCTTTTTACCACCCAGACTTCCTCTTTCAGGTGGTCATGACTCCTTCAGGGTGGGAGCAGTGAACACATTAAAAACCAAGAAAGCGGCCTCTAGGGGAGTAGGCAAGATGTTTATTCCCCTTGCTTTAACATATGTGAGGTCCCTGGGCACCCTGCACACTCAGAGGCTGCCTGAGGCCAGATGACCCCTGCAGGCTCTGTGGGTAACATACACTCATGCATTCCTTTATGTCACTCTTACCTGGGCCCTTTCACTCCCATTTCACAGGGCACCTGATTCTTCACCTCCTTCTAAACTGTGTGCTTGGTTGGGAACATTCAGGGCATGGTGCCTTCACGCCCCTTTCTGCACCTGTGTGGTAGTGTGTCTTCCTTTTTCCCCTGCTCTGATCAGGACTAATGTTAATGATGTTTCTCTCTACTGCAAGAAGAAATCCCCTGCTCTAAACCTCTCTGTGCTCAATTTGCTCTTTGATTTGTGTGCTATCAAGTTTACCCTAACAGCAAACTGGGCTCAATATCACAAACTAAAATCTTAGACCTTTAATTTCATAGCCAGTTTCTGGTGATTCTTTCTCCACATACCACTCCTGTGCTGTGCCTTCTAATATGGATGTCCTCGTATCCCATTCTTTTTTCAGCACTGTGTTACAAGGCCCCAGGCATCTATCTTTCTTTTTTCCCACTACAGCAAACTCATGGTAACTTGATGGGTAGTCAAATTCATAGCTGTCTTTATGAATTTAAACCCAGCACCCACCAGCCAACAGGTTGAGATGCGACCTCCAGCTTTCTGTTCAGTTTCTGATCCGCAGAGATATTTATTTTTAAGAGAGGTTATATGTTCTTGACCCTAGTTTTGTAGCAATGAATATGGCAAATAAAAATCGATTAAACATTGTTTTGTGGATGTAGAGAAAGAACTGTAAAGGATTGTGTCTACAATTTCCCACTGGAATTTTAATTGACTTTATGTTGCATTTATAAATTAATTTGGAAAGAACTAACATTTGACAATCTCTTTTTTTTTACAATCACTTGCTAAAATAAATATAATTCATTTGTGAAAGTATTTTAATTAATCCTTGCAGTCTATTAGAAGAGAATGCTCTTATCAGTAATTAATGAAACAGTTTTCTACACTTTCTCTACAGTAATGTCTCCTTTTTAAATTTTATTTTTTATTTCAATAGGTTTTTGGGGAACAGGTGGTGTTTGGTTACATGAATAAGTTCTTTAGTGGTGATTTCTGAGATTTTGGTGCACCTCACCCAAGCAGTGTACACAGTACCTAATTGTGTAGTCTTTTATCCCTCACTCCTCTCCCAACATTTCTCCCCAAGTCCCCAAAATTCATTGTATCATTCTTGTAATTCATTGTATCATTCTTATGCCTTTGTGTCCTAATAGCTTAACTTACAATTATAGTGAGAACATAAGAATGCTTGGTTTTTCATTCCTGAGTTACTTCACTTAGAATAATAGTCTCCAGTTCCATCCAGGTGGCTGCCAATGCCATTATTTATTTAGTTCCTTTTTGTGGCTGAGAGGTGTTTCATGGTGTATATATATGTATATATATACACATATACATATATAGATGTATATATACACATATATACATATATATTCTTTATCCACTTGTTGATTGATGGGCATTTGAGCTGGTTTCAAATTTTTGCAATTGCAAATTATGCTGCTATAAACGTGTGCGCAAATATCTTTTTCATATAATGACTTTTTTTCCTTTGGGTAGATACCTAGTAGTGAGATTGCTGGATCAAATGGTAGACCTACTTTTAGTACTTTAAGGAATCTCCACACTGTTTTCTATAGTGGTTGTACTAGTTTACATTCCCACCAACAGTGTAAAAGTGTTCCCTTTTTACCACATCCATGCCAACATCTATTATTTTGATTTTTTGATTATGGCCATTCTTGCAGGAGTGAAGTGGTACCACATTGTGTTTTGATTTGCATTTCCCTGATCATTAGTGATGTTGAGCATTTTTTCATATGCTTGTTAGTCATTTGTCTATCTTCTTTTGAGAATTGTCTATTCATGTCCTTAGCCCACTTTGTGATGGTATTTTTTGTTTCTTTCCTGCTGATTTGTTTGAGTTCTTTGTAGATTCTGGATCTTAGTCTTTTGTCAGATGTATAGATTGTGAAGATTTTCTCCCACTCTGTGGGCTGGCTGTTAACCCTGCTGATTGCTTATTTGGCTGTGCAGAAGCTTTTTAGCTTAATTAAGTCCCATCTGTTTATCTTTGTTTTTGTTGCATTTGCTTTTTGGTTCTTGGTCATGCAGTCTTTGCCTAAGCCAATGTTTAGAGGGGTTTTTCCGATGTTATCTTCTAGAATCATTATGGTTTCAGGTCTTAGATTTAAGTCTTTGATCCACCTTGAGTTGATGTTTGTATAAGGTGAGAGATGAGGATCCAGTTTCATTCTTCAACATGTGGCTTGCTAATTATCCCTGCACCATTTGTTGAATATGGTGTCCTTTCCCATCTTTATGTTTTTTTGTTTGCTTTGTCAAAGATCAGTTGGCTGTGAGTATTTGGCTTTATTTCTGGGTTATTGATTCTGTTCCATTCGTCTATGTGCCTATTTTTATACAAGTACCATTCTGTTTTGGTGACTATGGCCTTATAGCATAGTTTGAAGTTAGGTAATGTGATGCCTCCAGGTTTGTTCTTTTTGCTTAGCAATTGCTTTGGCTATGTGGGCTTCTTTTTGGTTCCATATGAATTTTAGGATTTTTTTTTCTAGTTCTGTGAAGAATGATGGTGGTATTTTGATGGGAATTCCACTGAAATTGTAGATTGCTTTTAGCAGTATGGTCATTTTCACAATATTGATTCTACCCATCCATGAGCATGGGATGTGTTTCCATTTGTTTGTATCATCTATGATTTCTTTCAGCAGTGTTTTTTACTTTTCCTTGTAGAGGTCTTTCACCTCCTTGTTTAGGTATATTCCTAATTTTTTTTTTTTTTTTTTTTTTGCGGCTGTTGTAAAAGATGTTGAGCTCTTGATTTGATTCTCCGTTTGGTTGCTTTTGGTGTATAGCAGAGCTACTGATTTGTGTACATTAATTTTGTGTCCTGAAACCTTGCTGAATTTATTTACTAGTTCTAGGAGTTTTCTGGATGAGTCTTTAGGGTTTTCTACGTATACAATCATATCATCAGCAAACAGTGACAGTCTGACTTCCTCTTTACCAATTTGGATGCTCTTTATTTTTTTCTCCTGTGTGATTGCTCTGGCTAGGACTTCCAGTATTATGTTGAATAGAAGTGCTGAAAGTGGGCATCCTTGTCTTGTTCCAATTCTCAGGGGGAATGCTTTCAGCTTGTCCCCATTCAGTATAATATTGTCTATGGGTTTGTCATAGATGGCTTTTAATACCTTAAGTTATGTCCCTTCTATTCCTATTTTGCTGAGGGTTTTAATCATAAAGAATGCTGGATTATGTCAAATGCTTTTTCTGCATCTATTGAGATGATCATGTGAATTTTGTTTTTAATTCTGTTTATGTGGTGTATCACATTAATTGGCTTGCATGTGTTAAATCAACCCTGCATCCCTGGTATGAAACACATTTGATCATGGTGGATTATCTTTTTGATATGCTTTGGATTCAGTTAGCTAGTATTTTTATAAGGATTTTTTCATCTATGTTCATTAGGGATATTGGTGTGTTGTGTTGTGTTCTTTTTTTGTTATGTCCTTTCCTGATTTTGGTATTGGGGTGACACTGGCTTCATAGAGTGATTTAGGGAGGATTCCCTCTTTCTCTATCCTGTAGAATAGTGTCAATAGGATTGGTCCCAATTCTTCTTTGAATGTCTGATAGAATTCAGCTGTAAATTCCTCTGGTACTGGATTTGTTTTTGTTGGTAATTTTTTTAATTATCATTTCAATCTTGCTGCTTGTTATTGGTCTATTCAGAGTTTCTGTTTCTTCCTGGTTTAATCTAGGAGGATTATATATTTCCAGGAATTTATTCATCTCCTTCAGGTTTCCTAATTTATGTGTGTGAAGGTGTTTATACTAGAATTGAATAGTATTTTTTATTTCTGTAGTATCAGTAATAATATCTCTTTTTTCATTTGTAATTGAGCTTATTTGAATCTTCTCTCTTCTTTTCTTGGTTAATCTTGCTAATGGTCTATCAATTTGATTTGTCATTTCAGATAACCAGCTTTGTGTTTCATTTATCTTTTGCATTTTTTTTGTTTAAATTTCATTTCATTCTGCTCTGATCTTCATTATTTCTTTTCTTCTGCTGGGTATGAGTTTGGTTTGTTTCTCTAAGTCTTTGAGATGTGACTTTACGTTGGCTGTTTGTGCTCTTTCAGATGTTTTGATGTAGGCATTTAAGGCTATGAGCTTTCCTTTTAGCATTGCCTTTGCTGTATCCCAGAGGTTTTGACAGGTTGTGTCACTATTATCATTCAGTTCAAAGAATTTTTGAATGTTAATCTTGATTTCATTGTTGACCCAATGATCATTCAGGAGTAGGTTATTTAATTTCTATGTATTTGCATGGTTTTGAGGGTTCCTGTTGGAGTTGATTTCCCATTTTATTCAACTGTGGTCTGAGAGAGTACTTAATATAATTGTGATTTTCTTAAATTTACTCAGACTTGTTTTGTGTCCTATCATATGGTCTATCTTGGAGAATGTTCCATGTGCTAATGAATAGAATGTATATTCTGTAGCACATGAATGTTCTGTAATCATCTGTTGAGTCCATTTGTTCTAGGGTATAGTTTAAGTCCATTGTTTCTTTGTTGACTTTCTGTCTTGGTGACCTGACTAGTGCAGACAGTGGAGTATTAAAGTCCTCCACTATCATTGTGTTGCTATCTGTCTCATTTTTTAGGTGTAGTAGTAATTGTTTTATAAATTTAGGAGCTCCATTGTTAGGTGCATATATGTTTAGGATTGTGATATTTTCTTGTTGGGCTAGTCCTTTTGTCATTATATAATGTCCTTCTTTATCTTTTTTTTAACTGCAGTTGCTTTAAAGTTTGTTTTGTCTGATATAAAAATTGCTACTCCAGCTTGCTTTTGGTGTCCATTTGCATGGAATATCTCTTTCCACCCCTTTACCTTAAGCTTATGTGTATCCTTATGTGTTAGATGAGTCTCCTGAAGACAGCAGAAATTTGGTTGATGAATTCTTCTCTATTCTGCCATTCTGTATCTTTTAAGTGGAGCATTTAAGCCATTTACATTCAATGTTAGTACTATTTGTTGCCTGAATGTCTTGTTTGTTTGTCTGTTTCATTGTGTTATTGTTATATAGGTCCTGTGAGATTTATGCTTTAAAGAGGTTCTATTTTGGTGTATTTTGAGGATTTGTTTTAAGATTTAGAGCTTGTTTTAGCAGTTCTTGTAGAGTGGGGCTGGTAGTGGCGAATTCTCTCAGCATTTGTTTGTCTGTAAAAGACTGTATCTTTCCTTCATTCATGAAGCTTAGATTTGCTGGATACAAAATTCTTGGCTGATAATTGCTTTGTTTAAGGAGGTTAAAAATAGAACCCTGATCCCTTCTAGCTTTCAGGATTTCTTCTGAGAAATCTGCTGTTATTCTGATAGCTTTTCCTTTATAGGTTACCTGATGCTTTTGCCTCATAGCTCTTAAGATTCTTTCCCTTGTCTTTACTTTAGATAACCTGATAACTATGTGCTTATTTGCATGGTTTTGAGGGTTCCTTAAAACGTAGGTGATGATCTTTTTTCAATGAATTTCCCAGGTGTTCTTTGAGCTTCTTGTATTTGAATGTCTAGATCTCTAGCAAGGCCAGGGAAGTTTTTCTTGATTATTCCCTCATATATGTTTTCCACACTTGTAGATTTCCCTTCTTCCTCAGGAAAACCAATTAGTCTTAGGTTTAGATGCTTAACATAATCCCAAACTTCTTGGAGGCTTTGTTCATTTTTTAAAATTCTTTTTTCTTTGTCTTTGATGAATTGGGTTAATTAGAAAGTCTTGCCTTTGAGCTCTGAAGTTCTTGCTTCTGCTTTTCCAGTTCTATTGCTGAGACTTTCCAGTGCGTGTTGCATTTCTCTAAGTGTGCCTTGATTTCCAGAAGTTGTGATTTTAAAAAATTTATGGTATCTATTACACTGGAGATTTTTCCTTCCATGTCCTGTATTATATTTTTGATTTATGTAAGTTAGAGTTCACCTTTCCCTGGCTCCTCCTTGGTTAGCTTAATAATTGACCTTCTAAATTATTTTTCTGACAATTCAGAGATTTTGTTTTGGTTTTGATCCATTGCTGGTGAGCTGATACGATCTTTTAGGGGTGTTAAAGAATTATGTTTTGTCATATTACCGGAATTGTTTTTCTGGTTTCCTCCTCATTTGGGTAGACTATGTCAGAGGGAAGATCTGGGACTCTAGCTGCTGTTTAGATTCTTTTGTCCCACAGGGTGCTCCCTTCATGTGGTGCTCTTCCCCTTGCCCTAGGAATGGGGCTTCCTGAGAGCCCAACTGTAGTGATTGTTTTTACCCTTTTGTGTTTAGCCACCCAGCAGAGCTACCAGGCTCCAGGATGGTATTGGGGAGTGTCTGCAAAGAGTCCTGTGATGTGATCCATCTTCAGGTCTTTCAGCCGTGGATACCAGCACCTGCTCAGGTGGAGGTAGCAGGGGAATGAAGTGGACTCTGAGGTTCCTTGGTTGTATTTTTGTTTAGTGTGCTGGTTTTGCATTGGTTGGCCTCCAGCCAGGAGGTGGCGCTTTCAAGAGTGTATCGGCTGCCCTTGTGGAAGAAGGATCAGGTGGTGGGTGGGGCCATAGAGTTCCCAAGAGATTATGTGCTTTATCTTCAGCTACCAGGGCAGGTAGAGAAGGACCATCAGATGGGGGCAGAGTTAGGTGTGTCTGAGCTCAGACTCTCCTTTGGTGGGGCTTGCTGTGGTGGCAGTGGGGGTGGGTGTGTGGTTCTCAGGCCAGTGGATTTATGTTCCTCAGGGGATTATGGCTGCCTCTGCTGAGTCACACAGGTTGCCAGGGAAGTGGGGTAAGTCGGCAGTCACAGGCTTTACCCCGCTGCCATACAGCCTGCAGTCCTAAAGACAGGTCTCACTCCCACCGTGGCCCTCCCAACAGCATCAAGTCAATTTCTGGGCAGTTGGTGACCAGGGCTGAGAACTTGCCCCAGAGAACTCAGCCTTCCTGCTGAGAAAGCAAATGGACTCATGGTTTTCCGATGTCTCATTGAGCCAGCAGCAGTGATCCAGTTCCTTCAAAGGGTCTGTGGATTCTCTCAGCTTTCCTGGTATGTTCCTAGGGTAATTCTTGTAGCAAAAGTTCACGATATGAGTCTTCACATGCAGCTGTCTGAGCAGGAGCTGCAGGCTAGTCCTGCCTCCTTTCCCTCTATGGTAACATCTCTGATTCTAATTCTCCTTATTGCTTTCCTTAGAACTATCAAAACAATGTTAAATGGCAATGCATTTTCTCATTTAATGGTAATATTTCTATTTATGAAATGATGGATTGAAAATTATCTACAAATTTTCATCTAATGTAGACATTATTTTGTTGGCAATTTTATAAAAAGTTCTTACAAGAATATTTTAAATTTATCACTTTAAGGCCAGGTGCAGTGGCTCACACTTGTAATCCCAGCATTATGGGAGGCCGAGGTGGGAGGATCACCTGAGGTCAGAAGTTCAAGACCAGCCTGGCCAACATGGTGAAACCCCATCTCTACTAAAAATACAAAAATTACGTGGGCGTGGTGGTGTGTGCCTGTAATCCCAGCTACTCAGGAGGCTGAAGTGGGAGAATCACGTCAACTCTGGAGGCGGAGGTTGCAGTGAGCCAAGATCACACCACTGCACCCCAGCCTGGGTGACAGAGTGAGACTCCATCTCAAAAAAAAAAAAAATTATAACTTCAACATTTATAAAGTTGCATGTATTTTATAGTTCTTTTCCTTTTGACAAATTTGTTATAAATAAGAGGTAGTTGATTATCCACCTATCCTTAGCTTTCCATAATAAATTTTATTTTTGTTAGATTTTTAATATTTTTGTTAAATTTCATATGCTAATAGTCTATATAGATTTTATATTTATTATTCATAAGAAAAATTAATTTGTTGAAAACATCATTTTCAATTTTTGCTATTAACTATTTTGCATTTTTGTAATTTTGACAATTTGTGTTTCCTTAGAAACTCATTAATTTAATTTAAAATTGCAAATTACTTACATAGGATTATAACTATGGTTCTCCTAAAATTTGTATTTCCTTCCTATACCTGTGTCTGTATATTTGTGTTTTATTTCTATAAGTTATATTTTCCAGATTCTGACTTTTATTTTTAAAAGGATGAAATATTAATTTATTTAGAAATTCAAATTATTTTTGCTTTTCAAATTTATCAAACTTTGTCATTCTTCTTAATCCCCCACCATGCTTTTCTCAATCTAGTTTTGTTGTTTTATTTCTAACTTTTTGATTTAAGTGTTTTTTGTGTTTTTCATCTTAAAATAAAAAATCAAATTATGAGGACTACCAATATGCTTTTTGTACAGCTTTTACCTTGATCCTAAAAATGTAATAAATCATAGTATTGTTGTTATTCTCTAAATGATGTTAGAAATACATTTTCAGTGCCACAAAGGAAGTAGCACTCGAACATGAATTTTCTCAGCAAGGCAATTTTACTTCTATAGAAGGATGCATCTCACGGATGGAGCAATGGCGAGAGCACACCTGAACAAGGGAGGGGAAGGAGTTTTTATCCCTGACGCAGGTAGCCCCTACTGCTGTGTCATTCCCCTATTGATTAGGGTTGGACCACACAGTCTAAGCTAATTCCTACTGGCTATTTTAAAGAGAGCAGGGTTACGAGCCAGAGTGGTGGGATGAGCAGTTCTGGTGGGAAAGACGGTTACAGAACAAATGACTAAATGTGACTCAGGTCAGAACAGGTGACCAAGGGTGACTCAGGTTGCAGCAGGTGATCAGGGGTGACTCAGGACAGAGCAGGTGATCAGGAGTGACTCAGGATGGAGCAGGTGACCAGGGGTGACTCAGGACTGAGCAGATGACCAGGGAAACAGTTGTGAACTACTGATTACAACTGGTGGGGAGGTTGTTTACTGAAACTAGGGGAAGGAGATGAGGAGAACAAGGAAGTTAAACTTTAAAATGAAGGTCATAGAACTGAACATACTGACATACTGATACTTTGAAGAGAAACTTAGAACTCACTGTATTTAACAATGACATATATGATTTTAATATAGTATTTTTATCAAACTTTAGAAGGCTTTTTTTCAGATACTCATTATCTTATTTTTTTCTTTCTTTCTTTCCTTTTTTTTTTTTTTTTTTGAGGTGGAGTCTTGCTCTAGCACCCAGCCTGGAGTGCAGTGGTGCGATCTCAGCTCACTGTAACCTCTGCCTCCTGAGTTAAAGTGATTCTCCTGCCTCAGCCTCCTGAGTAGCTGGGATTACAGGCGCATGCCACTGCACCCGACTACATTTTGTATTTTTAGTAGAGATGGGGTTTTACCATGTTGGCTAGGCTGGTCTCGAACTGCTGACCTCAGGTGATCCACCCACCTCGACCTCCCAAAGAGCTGGGATTACAGGTGTGAGCCATCGCGCCCAGCCTATCTTATTTCTTCCTTCAATATTTTTACAAAATAATTTTAAAGACTTTTTTGAAGTTTAATTTACATATGAAAAAGAACATCCAATGACTTTTCATAAAATGAATATAATTATATAATCTGTACCTACCTCAAGAAACAGAACCAGACCACCAACCCATAAATTCCATCTAATCACATCCCTGTTGAGGTTAACTCTTATTTGCATCTTTTTTGTTTTTAATACAACTTAATGTATTATTAAAGGCAATCTTGTAAACAAAACTCAGGACAAGAAGTAGAACTTTGGTAGCTAACTTATAAGTCATTCTATGTACTCCATTCCAAATACAACCTCTTCCATTTAAATGATTTTTTTTGAATTCATTACGCAAGAGTCTATTCCTAGACACCATAGTTTAATCTTGCATGTTTGTAAGATACTTGATAGGGCCTTTAAGTTACTCAATTCACAGGTCCTTTCTCCATTCCTTTCATTTCTTTACAAACTCTCTGTCGAAGAACCTGAACTGTTGGACATGGTGAGTTGGCCTACAAACTTTGCTGACTGCATACTGATGATGGAATTTAATATGTTCATTTGTTCTGTTTCTTGCAATTGCAGCTGGATTCAGAGGTTTAGTTAGACGCAGGTTCAATCCTTTGGCATGACTAAACAGGAGATGATGTTCTCTTTCATCAAGAGGCACATAATGTCTGGGCCAGGTGAGGTGGCTCATGCCTGTAATCCTAGCACTTTGGGAGGCTGTGGCGGGCGAATTGCTTGAGCCCAGAGTTTGAGACCGGTCTGGGAAACATGGGGAAACCCTGTCTCTACCAAAAATACAAAAATTAGCCAATCTCATAACCTTGTGTAAAAATAATAAATATTAAAATATAAAACTAAAAAATAGGCACATAATAGCTGGTCTTTAGTCTTTTTTTTTTTGCTTTTAGCAGTTTTGATGTTTAATGCTTAGGTGAATTCATCCATTGCAAAATGGTCATGTTTTAACCTAGTCTTTTTGTTTTCATTTACTAGTTTGGATAATTTTGTACAGAGATGCTTTAACTGTCTTTTATTTGGCTACTCAGAGGTACAGTTCATACAGGAAAAGAGACAGAATTTATTTACCCAGTTTTCACAATAATCAATTGGTTTTCAGCTGTCCTCAGAAAGTGACAGATTAGGTTTTCATGTATTTGTTTCCTTGTATCATTCTGACTTCATTCTGATAGAATTAGAATGTATCACAAGTGTCACTTTGTGCTTAGTTATCTCTTTTACTTCTTAGAATTTCCCTTTTTTATTCTCTCGACATTCTCCTCTAGTCATTTCTTCATCCATATACTAGAAATAATAACTCAAATGTTTAAATGAAGGTTCAATGCTATACCACATAAAATCCACCTTGTGCAGAAACAGACATGCTGTTGTCATTTAACTGCAACTAACTTATATGAAGAAAATTGCAGACCTGAAATCAAATCTATCTTGCTCCAAATGCTACATGCTATATCTGTTTCTGTCTGTCGGCAGATAATGCAGTTTTACTTGGGTTAATCTATGTCAATAGGTGAAAACTCAACATTAAGAGCTAATTATGTTTGAGAACAGAAAGTAGAGAAAATTTATTAGTTGAGCAAGTGTTTGAGGTTGGTATGTGTAAAGAGAGTTGTGATACTACTTACTCTGAAAGGAAATCCTGCTGTATGGGATTGAATCTCTCTCAAGTGTTTCCTTGATTTTTCTCTGCAGTCATAGAAGAAGTAAGATATTTTTGTTGAATTTGGAGGTAGGTTTTGAAAAAAAAAATTCTAACTTCTCTATTTACAAGTACATGTAGACAAAAGAATTTTAACTTATAAAGCAAAATTAGGTTTATTTCTTCATCCCTGGAAGACTGACTCTCTCCTTTGTAATTCTATTTCATCATTTGTAAAATAATTGGAAAATGAAATTCAAATAACTACTCTTGAAAAGAAGAATAAATTTACATACAAATAATGGTCTGCAAGTCCCTTATTATACTCCATATCTGTGTAATTAGTTTAATTATAACTAAATCATGCTTGCATTAATTATATTTTAACCTTGATTATTTGTAATGTTAATTGCACATTGGTATTCAAAGAATTAAATAGGTAATTAGCAGCACAATGGAATTTTTCACTACTTAGAGAGTTGAAATGTACCTTCCTGCCCATGAAGCCCATAGCTTATTGCTACCTAATTGAAACACATCTACTCATTCATTCAATATATTAAGGTATTTTTGTCTCTTCTTTGAGGTTATATTATCTAAAACAGGGCTCTTTTACTTTCCTGTTTAATTTACTAATCTCCATGAATGCACATCTTCAAACTTGAGAGTAATACATGTCTAAATATATTTCAAAATTGTCCACTGTAGTTTGGCTCAGAGCATGTCATGTTCTCCTGATATACTGATAGTTGTCTCAGGCCAGAAATCACATGCATTTTTATTATTATTATTTTCTATTCTCTGTAGCTCTTCTTCCTACTATCGTAACTCTCAACTTTTTGTCTTGGCAAGTTGTCAAGGCTGCAGCATGATAGACTAGGTCCCAGAGGAAGTGAAGACAAGGAAGTGAAGTAAGGAATTTAAGACTAAGATTTGTTTTATGAATTTGATCAACACAGTTGAGAAGCAGGCATAAGAATAAATAATTATTTGACTTAAAACTAGCAGTCTCATATCTGGAACACTAAAGTCCTGCTAAGGTAGTGGCAAGATTAACAAAAGGCTCTAAAAATTGGAGACAAGTTTTCTGATGAAAATCTTATGTTGTGATATTTACTTAAAATATGAAAGGCTGTGGCATTTTTATTTGGTCAGCATAGTGTTAAAATTTTGGATTTGGATTGGCGTTGGTTCCAGTTTGTCACAGTTGCCACCATTGCTTGTTGCCTTATTGATGGACACCATCAAACATTTACTTGGACTATTACATCTGAAATTATTGAAATTTGTGGCTCCTGAACACCATAAATGTTAATCTCATTAGCCATGATTTACTGTGTCTCTCTTATTCGCCGAGTATTAAGTTAGGGGCTTTACATTCTAGATCTTATTTGATAATTATAATGACAAAGAGGTTGTTATCCTAATTTTACTGACAAGAATCTAAGATTCAGAAAAATTAAGTGGCTTGCCGGAAGTCAAACTTCTAGAACATGATGGAGCTTTGAATCCAAGTTTTTGAAACTCTAAATCACATGCAGTTCCTATCCACCCTTTGACTATTAGAGAAAACAAAGTAGTCACAATCAATGAGACAGAACATAAAATATTTTAAAAGGGAGAAGAAAAAGAGATATATATATACATATAAAATATCATGTATATAAATATCATATGATATATATCTTAGTTATATCTATATATATATTTTAAAAGGAAAGTTGACAGATAACAGAGCAGGCACATATTTTTATAATAAATATTATTGGGAGTATCTTTCCTTAAAAAATCAGACACTCAGAAACTGGGTTAAAAAAGGTATTTTTTTTTTTACATGACACAACACACCATTACAGTGAAATTAAAAATAATGGCCATTATGCAAATGAAAACAAAACAAAACTGTATAAATACGTTAACATTTAAATATATAATTCAAGTAAAGGTACATATGAGGCAAAGACACTACTAAATAAAATACATTCTTTGATGTGAAGTCATTGCAGTCAAGAAATTCTGTATATGAAAGACATAGAATGATAAGGTGTAAAGCAAAGTCTGTTGGGAAAACCAGAAAGAGAATGAGAGGATACGTTGGAAGGAAGAGACCTTAACTCTTTAATTATCTAATAGTTACAAAGTGTAATATATTTGGAGAATGAGTTTCACGTCATCAACACAAGAAACAAGACTGTTTATCATACAAACATGACAAATACAACTCTTCATTTTTATTTATGAAGTACTAGAGTAATTCCTGTTAAAATAAGAAACAGAATAACATGATCAACATTATTATTTAGCATTTTCTGGAATTTAAGTTCCTGCTATAAGACATAGTTTAAAAAATAGTATGAGTATTTATACTGCTAATTATTATCTTTTGTGTCATCATACACTTAAATACCCAAGAAGATCAATTAAGAAATAATTTCAACTGAAGTGGCCAGAAAAAATAATAAATACATTCAAGGCTATATAATATGAAAAACAATTACAATAGAAAAAAACACATGCAAGGTAATGAATAACCTTAGAAGGAAATATGGTCAACCTATATGTTAAAATGTAGATGATGTTTTCAGCATAAAAGAATAAATAAGTAATAAGATAATACCATGTTGCTGAATGGAAAAGCTGAATCATCTTACTATTACTCTCCTCTAGCAAGTTTTATAGATTTAATGTAATTCCAATTGATATTGCAGAGAATAGAGTAGGCTTTACACAGAATTTCTGAAGTTTTAAACACAAGAATAAATAGATGGGTCTAATCGTGACATTTTTCAAAAAGAATAGGTTGATAATGGCTAAATGACTTAAGAAATATTTCAGTGCATTATATTGACTTTGTAATAAAATAATGTCTTTCTAATTGGATTGCTTAATCGATAAGAGAAAATCAAAATATAAAAAAGGTAGTATACACATTTTACATTAGTGATAAAAGGAAAAGAAGTTGCAAAATTTTCCTGAGATTGGTATTTTCTATCCCTCAAAGAAAATTAGAAATAAGGCAAATAAACACATTGTTTATTCAATAAGGACATTTCTTTTAGACATTAAATTAATGTAAAATTTACAGTAGAAAATACAGATATATTTAAACATAGAAATTTAAATTTCTTCTGTAAGTCGAAACATTAAAATTGAAAGGCTGAAAACAAGGATCAAATAAGACAAAGCATTAATAGGTATAATATGTAAATTACTGTATAGTGATAAGGAAAAGACTACAATTACAATACAAATAGGCTAGCTGGGCACGGTGGCTCACGCCTGTAATCCTAGCACTTTGGGAGGCCGAGGCAGGCAGATTGACTGAGGTTAGGAGTTCGAGACCAGCCTGGCCAGCATGGTGAAATCCTGTCTCTACTAAAAATACAAAAATTGGCTGAGCATGGTGGTGGGCACCTGTAATCCCAACTACTCGGGAAGCTGAGGCAGGAGAATCGCTTGAACCCAGGAGTCGGAGGTTGCAGTGAGCCGAGATCGCACCGTTGCACTCCAGCCTGGGCAACAGAGGGAGACTCCATCTCAAAAAAGTAAAAAATAAAAAAAATAAAAAATAGGCATAAGACTTAAGCATTAAACACAATATGAAAGTGAATGGTTAATAAACATTTTAAAAATAGTTGCCATCATTAATATAAAAATGCAAAACAAACAACAGATACATATATATTTTTAATCATTATAAACAACTAAAATGTAGTGCACAATTTCATGAAGGTATAGTAAAGTGGACACTGTTATATGCTTATCTTTGGAATATAAATCATAATTTTACTGGAGTTAAGCATGGCAATATATATAAAAAATACTTGGGCTAATAATTTTCCTTCTGGGAAATTTGTGCCTAGGGAGATAACAGAAACTTGGATAAAGGTTTAAATGAAAATATATTTATTCTAGTAAATAATTGAGAAGGTATTGTTCCTATATATTTAACAATTACATTAATTACAAAATGTTGGTGCAAAATCATTTAAAATAATATTAAATATATTAAAATGGAAGATTAGCATAACTTGAAAATGCTCTCATTACTAGATAAGAATTATCTAAAACGATTATATTAGTACCTATCTGAGGTCACAAGAAAGGAGGGAAATTTCCAGGTGCCATAAAAGAAGAAACCAACAAACCTGATGTGATACTGTGCAATATATATTTTTGTCTTAGACCCATTTCCAAGCCTACAACTCCTAAAATTCTTGGAATGTCCAAACTGATGTAATTTTTATGCTAATGATTTATGGCGCTGGCAGCCTCTAGGTCACTTCAGGATGGGGCTGGTCACCAGAAAGACCAAGGCAGGATTACAGGGTTGGGACTTCCAGCCACACCCCTCAATCTCAGGGGATGATGAGACGCTGAAGGTTAAGTTGATCACAAATGACCAACGATTTATTCAACCATGCCTCTGTAAAAGCTCTGTAAAATCCCCCAAAACTGTGTTCAGGGAGTTTCTGGATACCTGAACACTTGATAGTTCCTGGAGGGTGGTTCCCAGAGAGGGATGGAAGCTCCATACCCCTTCCCACATGCTTTCCCTTATACATCTTTTCATTTCTATCTTTTGTAATAGTCTTTGTAATAAACTGGTAAATGCAAATAAGTGTTTCCCTGAGTTCTGTGAGCCATTCTAGCAAATTAATCAAACCCAAGAAGAGGGTCATAGGATCCCTGGCCGATCCCAAAAGGTCAGAAGCTCAGGTAAAACAACCTGAGGCTTGTGACTGGCATCTGAAAGGGAGCGGTCTTGGGGACTGAGCCCTCAACTTGTGGGATCTGATTATGTCTGCAGGCAGATAGGGTCAGAATAGAACTGAACTAGAGAACATTCAGCTGGTGTCTGCTGCAGAAATGATTGCTTGATTGTTGGTGGGGAGAAATCCCCACACATTTGGTCACAGAAGTCTTGTGTTGATTGTTGTGGTGTGAGAGCAGAGGAAAAACAGAGTTTTCACACTTTCATTCCAGAGTAATTGCTTGTGTTGCCACCTAAGAAAGGGGCAAAGCATATGTAAATTTCTGATTTGGAGGCATAGGTTTTAATGTCCCTGATGGTGCAAGAGCTATGACTGCAGCTCTGCATGTGGAGAAGCATTGAACTGAAACTCTGTATAAAGCTAGGATCGTTGAAAGGCTGCATCCTTACTGAAGGGGTAGGATCTAGAAAAGACCTTCTACTGGCATAGAAAGATAATAGGAAAACATTAATTTCTGTCTAGGATTAGAGGTGAAAAGAAAAAAATCTCCCCTGGAATTTTGAAAACCTGAGCTTATACCCTAGAACTGAAACTCCTAGAATTGTGGGAGTTTAAATTTGACTACCTGTGATCTGAGAACCACAACTCCCCCTACCCAAGAATATAACATAAACATTGACCTCAGTTTGATGATACCCATGGGCACTTTTAAGAAGAAAACACAAATCTTTGCAAGGATGGTCTCACAGCTCATATATCATTTTTTTTCAAGAGCCCATTAAAGTGGAGTGACTAAACAAACATTACAAAACACACAAGACAACTATCTACTATATAGATAAATTAATGGCTATCACAAAAAGGAGAATTGGCACACAAAGAATGTAATGTAAGAGAACTACAATCACAAAGAAAATGTAAGAAGTACCATGATATGAGAGAGAATAGATTTGAAAAAAAAAGTACTAAGATTAAAAACTGTGGCTATTAAAAAGAAAAACAATGGTTGGGTTAAAAACAAATGATGTACTGCTAATAAAAAATATGAAAATGAAATTATGTGAAATATGGAGGATAGAAAGAGGTCTAACATAAGTCTAATTAGATTTCTGAACAAAAGAATAGAGACAATGGGAGAGAGGCACCATTTGAAGAAATAATAGGTGAGGATTTTCTAGTGTTAAGACTGTTGCTTCCTTCAATTGAAGAAACATTACATTTATTGAATATAATAAATGAGACATTCATACTTAGGCACTTTGTGTTGAAACCAAGAATTCCAAAAACAAACTCTTAAAAGAAACAAGGTGGCAGGTCACCACAAAGTAAGAAATACACCTGCATCTGTTCACAATAATAGCCACTAGCCACTTGTAGCATCTAAAATTAAATGTAAATATGTTAAAATCAAATCAAATTATAATTTTTTTCTCAGCAGCCACTAGCAACATTTCAAGAGTACAAGAACCTTCTGTTTCAGGCAGCACAGATACAAAACATTTTCATTGTTGCAGAAAGTTTAATTTGGCAGTGATGAATTAGACCAAAGACCAACTTCTTGACAGCAAGAATATAAACAGAATCCAGTAAAATGAAAGAACATAATGAATCAAAATGCATTAATAGGTCAATAGTTGTTATATATAGACACAGAATTATAGGTTAAGTTTTATTTTTTCTTAATCCTTCCTGTACTTTCCAAATCTTGCGCTATGATCGTGTGTTAGATTATCAGACAATTAAATAATAAACGGGATATAAACTCTTAAGACAAAAGCCTTTCTCTTCACATTTCAAACTAGCATTTTTTGAGTTTGCTCCATTTTAATATATGCAACTGGGATAAACTGTTTTTTCCTTAGGTTTTCCCGTTTTTTAAGTGACCGTATCATAGAATTCATGTGAACAATAACTATGAAGTGCTATGACACCATCAAAATTCTAAGTATTATGTATATAATACTTAAAAATTTATGTATAAATTACTGTGCTTCATATAAACCAATGCACTACCAATATATACAAAAAGACATGGAACTCATTTATTGCTTTTAAATGTTTCATCTTCCTTTAGACTAATATGAATCACAAATTAGAGTAGTTTGAATCATAACCTCACCAACTAGCAACTAGTTGACAATTTAATTTTCTCCATTTAAAATTAAATGACAATTTAACAATACTAACCTAGGAAAACAATGAAAGAAAGTCCTCTCTAATTTTACATCAAAGTGATTTTTATTCTTGCAGACACCAGTTTAAAAAAATGGTCTAACTGTGCCTCTATGTTTGTATGTATCAATTATCTGTCTGCATGTACACATGCTTGCATGTACATATACACAAAAATGCTCATATACAGTGTATATTTTTTTCATTCATTTCATTCAGTTTTTAAATTTACATCATCATATCAAAATGTTTTCAGAACTGCTGCACAGTCTTCACATTAATGCCTACCTTGTATTCCACTGGTTTTCTATGCCAGCATGTACTGAGTCATTTCTCTATTACATAGTTATATTCTCATTTGAATTTCCCTTCCCTGGAACAAAGTATCTCTTAGCTGAAAAAGTCTTATTCTGTGAAAGAAAATGCTGCCTCTTCCATGCTATGTCTAAGATATGGCAGAATGTGCAAACTAGCAGAAAGCATCTGTATTTAGCCACAAGCATTGACTTCAGTCGGCCCCATGTAGATCTGTATTAGATGGGTTTCCCTGCTGCTTGCTGCCTCAGGCTTCCATGGGGAGCACCCAGAATACAGTATGTGCAGAGGTGTTCTTAATTTCACACTGAAGATGCTCACTCCTCTGCACACATGGTCCGTGATGTCCCAACTTTACACTGGTGTAAAAATGATACACATTTCAGTGAGTACCATACTTTGGGTACCCATACAATCATTCTTTTCACTTTCAGTACAGTATTTACTAAATTACTTGAGATATTCAGGACTTTATTATGAAATAGGTTTTATGTTAGATGATTTTGCCTAGCTGTAGGCTAATGTAAGTGTTCTGAGCACACTTAAGATAGGCTAGGATAAGTGATGATGCTTGGTAGGTTAGGTGCAATAAATGCATCTTCAACTTACAGTATTTTAAACTTACAATAGGTTTATTGGGATGTAACCCCATCCTAAGTTGAGAAGCATTTGTATTTGCTACTTGTTGATGTTTACTTCCTGTTTGCTAACACACTACCTGTGGTGTGGCTTCTGTCATCCACGATGTCTTTTGTGTCTTTTCAAGAACAACAAGGTTGATGCATAGCTAGAACTGATAATATGTTCTTTTTAGTGGAAAATATCTTCTGTATATAACAAACTGCTAACTGCTCATACACAGCGAGTATTTTCATTTGTTAGTTTTCACTGGAAAATATTGTTTATCCTATAGGAATACATATATTTCTATATTCCTATCCCGATATGCCACTATAATTAAATCATCTTGGGTACAGTCTTTGTTTCATTACGCAGTGGTATTAGAAAACTTCTGAAAGTCCCCTGGCGGAGAAATGTCCCTAAGCATTTTGTTAATTAAGGGATAATTTCACTGAAGAGGAATATTGGAAGGAATTGCTTTCTTTCTCAGACATTTAAATATAAAAGCCGAGTTGAAGTCTTTGTTAATCTAGAATCTATTTTTCTTTCTAAGGCTATGCCAACATAAAACCATATTTTCTTTAGTTAATGTAATACAGTACTGGGAGTGAAGGATGATAAAAACACCAGCATGTAACACATTTTTTTTTTTTTTGTCCACAGATTGTTAAACGTCAAAAGCAACCTCACGCTATGGCTTATGTATTGAGCTGTGTGAGAGTTCACATGTCGACTTCCAATCTTCAAATTTTAGTTAATATATTGTTTGAGCTCCCTAGCGCTTCATGGGAAGTCCTCACTGGGAGACCTTATCTCCCTTTCAGCTGCTCTCGTTACATAGAAACTAAGCCACCATGAGCAATGTGCAGGTTCCCTCATGCCAGGGTGTTTTCTGCATGCCTTGCTTGCACAGCTTCTATGTTCCCTACATGCTCCTTACACCTGGGGAGCTCTAATCCTGTCAGTGCCAGGCACAGGTGAGTCTACTGACTCACACAGGAAGGGAGGATTATTCTCAGCTTCTTTCTAAGATTGAAACTTGACTACATCTCTATTAAAATAGAGATGGGTGGTGGTTGCCTGGTAAACCTATAGCCAGACAACTCTAGCCTATTTAGGAGTCATTATTTTTTCTTTACTTTTTTTAAAAAAAATTTACTTTAAGTTCCAGGATACAAGTGCAGAATGTGCAGGTTTGTTACTTAGGTATACATATGCCGTGGTGGTTTGCTGCACCTATTAACCTGTCATCTAGGTTTTAGGCCTTGCATGCATTAGGTATTTGTCCTAATGCTTTCCCTCCCCTTGCCCTCTACCCGCCAACAGGCCCAGGTGTGTGTTGTTCCCCTCCCTGTGTCCATGTGTTCTCATTGTTCAACTTCCACTTATGAGTGAGAACATGTGGTGTTTGGTTTTCTGTTCCTTTATGAGTTTGCTGAGGATGATGGCTTCCAGCTTCATCCATGTCCCTGCAAAAGGACATGATCTCGTTCTTTTTTATGGCTGCATAGTATTCCATGGAGTACATGTACCACATTTTCTTTTTCCAGTCTATCATTGATGGGCATTTGGGTTGGTTCCATGTCTTTGCTACCATAAATAGTGTTGCAATAAACATACGTGTGCATGTGTCTTTATAGTAGAATGATTTATTTTCCTTTGGGTATATACCCAGTAATTGGATTGCTGGATCAAATGATATTTCTGGTTCTAGATCTTTGAGGAATCACCACACGTCTTCCACAATGGTTGAACAAATTTACATTCCCACAAACAGTATAAAAGCGATTTTATTTCTCCACAGCCTCACCAGCATGTATTGTTTCCTGACATTTTAATAATCACCATTCTGACTGACGTGAGATGGTATCTCATTGTGGTTTTGATTTACATTTCTCTAAGGATCAGTGATGTTGAGCTTCTTTCATGTTTGTTGGCCAGTTGAATGTCTTCTTTTGAGAAATGTCTGTTCATATCCTTTGCCCACTTTTTGATGGGATTGTTTGTTTCTTTCTTGTAAATTTGTTTAAGTTCCTTGAAAATTCTGGATATTAGACCTTTGTCAGGTGGGTAGATTGCAAAAATTTTCTCCCATTCTTTAGGTTCCCTGTTCAGTCTGATGCTAGTTTCTTTTGCTGTGCAGAAGCTCTTTAGTTTAATTAAACCGCATTTGTCAATTTTGAATTTTGTTGCCATTGCTTTTGGTGTTTTAGTCATGAAGTCTTCATAGGCAGATGAAGCATAGCTAACATTTCTGTCCTATGCTTACCACAAAGTAGCTGAATATTTATTTTTATAGAAAATTCTGCGTTTCATATATTTTCTTCTTTACCAAACTCTTTGAAGTCTCTATTTTTCTTTTTTTTGGAAATGGAGTCTCGCTCTGTTGCCCAGGCTGGATTGCAGTGGTGCGATGTCAGCTCATTGCAACCTCTCCCCAACCTGATTCAAATGATTCTCATGTCTCAGCCTCCAGAGTAGCTGGGAGTACAGGCGCCTGCCACCATACCTGGCTAATTTTTGTATTTTTAGTAGAGACGGGGTTTCATCATGTTGGCCAGGCTGGTTTTGAACTCCTGGCCTCAAGTGATCCGCCCCCCCTCAGCCTCCCAAAGTGCTGGGATTACAGGCGTGAGCCACCAAGCCTGGTCTCTACTTTCTTTTTTATCTTTGAGTAACAAATCTCTTAATTTATGTGTGTGTTGTTGTTTATTCTTCTTTTTTCAGTGGATGATGCCACTGGCTGAATAATACTGTGAATCCATCTATTTATCTATCTACGTACCTACATACCTATCTATCTCATCTATCTATCTTTTTAATCTATCCATCCGTCTGTCCATCCATCCGTCCATCCATCCATCCATCTGCTTGGCAGACCTGCACAGGTCATCCATGTTATGTCACCTCCCCACACTATCAGTGTGCACCAACTGTCATCCCAGGCAGATACTGTTTTTAATAATTTTACAGATAAGACTAATAGAGGCCAACTGAAAATTTTTTTTACCTTCCAGCTCTTTACTGAGCATTCTATTTTAGTCATATTTCTAAATATTTCAAGAATTATTTTTTCTCTCTTGACTTATTTATGAAAAAAATGGCATCCTACTTTTTAGAAATGCAATATCTAAATAAATCATTTTTTCTTTAAATATTGATGTATTTTTCTTTTAAATTAGTTTATCTGCATTGTTTCAGCTACCTGAATTTTCTGGAGTTTTTTGTTTGTTTTTGTATTGTTCATGTCATATATTTCCTTCAAATAGCTAATGTTTTGTGATTGTCTACTCCTACTTAATATGTGAGCATTAAAATCCTTAATGAAAACCCTTGGTATATGGCTAGGGCTTACTGACTGTTCACTATAGAGTGAGCTATCATTTTGATAGAATTTGGTGAGGCAATAAAAGTAAAATGTACATTTAAACTTCATCTTTAATTAGATGTCTAGATTAATTAAAACCACTTTTGCATTGCCACTATAATCCCATGTGATTATGTTGTATTCCTTTGAATTTTTCAAAAATTTGAATTTCCAGAATCAATAGTGAAATATTTTTGAGTTACAGACACATAAATCTAAGGATTATTAGATCTGTCCTTTTTCTCTTCAGTCTTGATAATGTTCTTTGATTTTAGATTTAGACTGCTTTTAGGTTATTACTTTATTATTTTTTCTTTTCAAATAAATTCGTATGTATTGCACTCTTTTTTTTTTTTAAGATATATGTCTGTTTTAATTTGTTTCTACTGACCACCAACTTTTTCATTCATTATAATAATGCTTAATTCCCAGTTTGGTAAAATTAATCTTAGTTGTGTTTTATTTTTGTAACAAAGGATGACTGCAGTGAGAGATTCCCTGTCCTGATTCCCTGACTACCAGAGAGTAGGTTTCAGCCTTCCCTTCTGAAAGACAAGAATGCACATGCCATTCTAAGGTCACACATTTTCTCACCAGACTCTGGGCATTATCCTACTGTCTTCTGACAGTCAGCATGCAATGGAGAGGTCCAAGGCAGCCTCACTTTGATTCTTGTTCAGATATTTACATGTTTTATGTTCTTTCCTCTGAAGTTAACCAAAAAAAGCAAGAAAACAAAACCCATTAAACTCCTTGTCAAATCATCAAGGCTTAGTAGTATTTTCATTTGTCCTTTTAGCCTTTATTCATAGTTTTGTTTTTAATTTAAGAAAATAATTTTGGTTTCCTTGCAGTCCTTACTAATTTTAACCTATTAACCTGTTGTTCTCATTCTGGAGGGCCTTAAAAAAAAAGTTACAATTTTATCTCAGACATTCCTTTCCTTGGGTTTTATGTTTCTATTTCATTGAGGCTGCTTCATCTTGCATTCTTCTGGAAATACCAGTGTCTTTCCTTAATATTCAGATACATGTTTTGCTGAATCTTAGAGATTTTGTTCCTTTTCCACTGTTTATTTTTAGAGGATGTTGTTTTACTCATCTAAGAAAATGTAAACTTTTTATTAAGTTGATGTTGATCAACAGCAATGGACAGTAGAATTCTCTCTGCTTACTTTGGTGGTGGTTGGATACAGAATTTGGACCTACAACATAGGTTGAATAGAAATGTATAGGTCTTAGTTCAGTCTTGGTTTTTAGCAAGGTTTTACTTTGTACTTCCTTTGTATTGTAGGAGCATTGTTCCTCACCTTTGTTGCCTTTTTTTTTTTTAGAAAAAAATATGTATTGACAAATTATAATTGTATATATTTACGGGGTACAAAGTAATGTTATGATTTAAGTTGTTTAATTTTTAATATTTGTTGGTACATAAGGGTTATATATATTTATGGGGTACATGAGATACTTTGATATAGGCGTACAGTGCATAATAATCACATCATGACAAATGGGGTATCTGCCCCCTCAAACACTTATCCTTTTTGTTATAACAATCCAATTATACTATTAGTTATTTTAAAATGTATAATTAAGTTATTATTGACTGTTATGCTATAAAATACTAGGTCTTATTCATTCTTTACAACTACTTCTTGTACCCATTAATCATCCCCACTTCCCTCCCTACACACCCACTACCCTCCCCAGCCTCTGGTAACTATCCTTCTATTCTCTTTCTCCATGAATTCAATTGTTTTAATTTTTAGCTCCCACAAATAAGTGAGAATATATGAAGTTTGTCTTTCTGTACTTGGTTTATTTCACTTAACACAATGACCACCAGTTCCATACATGTTGCAAATAATGGGATTCTCTTTTATGGCTGAATAGCACTCCACTGTGTATATGTGCCACATTTTCTTTATCTATTCATCTGCTGATGGACACTTAGGTTACTTCCAAATCTTACCTATTGTGAACAGTGCTGTGATAAATGTGGGAGTGCAGATATCCCTTTTACATGCTGATTTCCTTTCTTTTGGGTATATACCTAGGAGTGAGATTGCTAGGTCCTTTGGTAGCTCTATTTTTAGTTTTGAGGAACTTCCAAACTTTTCTCCATAGTGACTACCAATTTACATTCCTACTAACAGTGTATGAGGGTTCCCTTTTCTCTGCATCCTCTCTAGCATTTGTTGCTTGTTGCCTGTCTTTTGGATAAAAGCCATTTTAACTGGGGTGAGATATCTTTTTGTAGTTTTGGTTTGCATTTCTCTGATGATGAGTGATGTTGGGAACTTTTTCGTATACCTGTTTGTCATTTGTATGCCTTCTTTTGCAAAATGTCTATTCAGATTTTTTGCCCATTTTTAAATCAAATTATTAGATTTTTCCTGTATATCTGTTTGAACTTGTTATGTATTCTGGTTACTAATCCCTTTTCAGATGGATAGTTTGCAAATATTTTCTCCCATGCTTTGGGCTGTCTCTTCACTTTGTTGGTTATTTCTTTTCCAGTGCAGAAGTTTTTTAACTTGATGTGATCCCATTTGTCTGTTTTTGCTTTGGATCACTTGTGTTCGTGGGGTATTACTCAAGAAATTTTTGCCCAGACCAATGTCCTGGAGAGTTTTCCAAAGTAATAGTAATAGTAACTGTTCAAGTAATAGTTTCATATTTTGAGGTGTTAGATTTAATTCTTTCATTCGTTTGGTTTTACCTTTTTATATGATGAGAAAATAGGGGTCTAGTTTCATTCCTCTGCATATGGATATCCAGTTTTCCCAGAACCATTTATTGAAGACCATCTTCTTCTGAATGTATGTTCTTGACACCTTTGTCAAAAATGAATTTCCTATGGGTGTATGGATTTGTTTCTGGGATTTCTATTCTGTCGCATTGGCCTATGTGCCTGTTTTTATGCCAGTACCATGCTGTTTTGGTTACTATGGCTCTGTAGTATATTTTGAAGTCAGGTAAAGTGATTCCTCTAGTTTTGTTCTTTTTGCTTAGGATAGCTTTGTCTATTTTGGGTCTTTTGTGGTTTCATATAAATTTTAGGGTTGTTTTCTCTATTTCTGTAAGAATGCCATTGGTATTTTGATAGGGATTGTATTGAATCTGTAGATTGTTTTGGGAAATATGGATATTCTAACAATATTGATTCTTCCAATTCATGAATATGGAATATCTTTCCATTTTTTTATTCCTTCTTTGATTTCTTTCACCAATGTTTTGCCATTTTTATTGTAGAGATCTCTCACTTCTTTGGTTGGGTTAATTTCTAGATATTTAATCTTATTTGTGGTTATATTAAATGGGATTACTTTCTTGATTTCTTTTTCAGATTGTTCACTGTTGTCATGTAGAAATGCTACTGATTTTTGTATGTTGATTTTGTATCTTGAAACTTTAATTTGTTTATCAGTTCTAGTAGTTTTTTGTGCTAGAGTGTTTAGATTTTTTTCAAATATAAGATAATATTATCTGCAGCAAGGATAATTTGAGTTCTTCCTTTCTAGTGTGGATGCCCTTTATTATTATTATTTATTATTATTATTATTATTATTATTTGATTGCTCTGGCTAGAAGTTCCAGTACTATGTTAAATAACAGTGGTGAAGGTGTCCTTGTTGTGTTTTAGATCTTAGAGGAAAGGCTTTCAGGTTTTCCCTCATTCAGTGTGATACTAGCTGTGGGTCTGTTGTATATGACTTTTATTATGTTAAGGGATGTTCCCCAGTTTTTTGAGGGTTTTTAATCATAAAGGGATGTTGAATTTACTGAATACTTTTTCAGTATCAATTGAAATGATTATATGGTGTTTATCCTTCATTCTGTTGTTATGATGTATCACATTGATTGATTTGTATATGTTGAAACATCCTTACATCCCTAGGATAAATTTCACTTGGTCATGATGAATGATCTTTTTAATTCATTGTTGAATTCAGTTTGCTTGTATGTTGTTGAGGATTTTTGCATCAACATTCATCAGAGATATTGGCACATAGTTTTCTTTTTTTGATATATTGTCTGATGTGGGTATTAAGGTAATACTGGCCTCATAGATTGAGTTTGGAAGTAGTCTCTCCTCTTCTACTTTTCAGAATAGTTTGAGTAGGATTGGTATTAATTTGTTAAACATTTGGTAGAATTCAGCAGTGAAATCATTGGGTCCCAGGCTTTATTTTTTGCTGGGATATTTTATTATGGCTTCAATCTTGTTACTTGTTATTCACATGTTCAGATTTTGAATTTCTTCATGGTTCAATCTTGGTAGGTTGTATGTGTCTAGGAATTTATCCATTTCCTCTAGATTTTCCATTTATGGGCATATAGTAGCCACTAATGATCCTTTGAATTGCTGTGGTATCAGTTGTAATTTCTCCTTTTTCATCTCTGATTTTATTTATTTAGGTTTTCCCTCTTTTTTTCTCAGTCTGGCTACAGGTTTGTCAATTTTATTTATCTTTTCAAAAAACAAATTTTTATTTTATTGATCGTTTATATTATTTTCTTTATTTCACATTCATTTATTTCTGTTTTAATCTTTATTTATTTTTTACCAATTTTGGGTTTGGTTTGCTCTTGCTTTTCTAGTTCTTTAATATGATTATTAGGTTCTTTATTTGACATTTTTCTTCTTTTTTGTTGTAGCCATTTATAGCTATAAATTTTCTTCTTGGTACTGCTTTTGCTGTATTTCATAGATTTTGGTATGTTGTGCTCTCATTAGCATTTAAATAAATTTTTCAATTTCTTTCTTAATTTCTTTACTAATCTACTGGTTATTTGTGATCATATTGTTTAATTTCCATGTGTCTCTGTAATTTCCAAAATTCTTCTTGTTCTTGATTTCTAGCTTTATTCTCTTGTGGTCAGGGAAGATATTTGTTATTATTTCAAAGTTTTTGAATCTTTTAAGATTTGTTTTGTGATCTCATGTATGTTCTTTCCTTGACAGTGATCTACGTGCTGAGAAGGAGAATATATATTCTGAAGCTGTGGAGGGAAAGGTTCTGCAGTATCTGTTAGATCCATTTGTTCTATAGTACAGATTAAGTCCAATGTTTCTTTGTTGATTTTCTGTTTATAATATCTGTTCAGTGCTGCAAGTGGGGCATTGAAGTCCCCAGGTATTGTTATATTGAGGTCTATCTCTCTCTTTATCTCTCATAATATTTGCTTTATATATCTGAGTGCTCCTGTGTTGGGTACATAAATATTTACAATTGTTTTACCTTCTTGCTGAATTGACCCTTTTATCGTGATGTAATGACCTTCTTTGTCTCTTCTTATGGATTTTGTCTTGAAATCCATTTTGTCTGATATAAATATAGCTACTCATGCTACATTTTGGTTTCCATTTGCATGGAATATAGTTTTTCCATCCCTTTATTTTCAGTCTATGTGTATTTTTATAGGAAAAATGTATTTCTTGTAGGCAGCAGATCATTGAGTCTTGTACATTTTTTTTCATTTGGCCACTCTGTTTTTTGATTGGAGAGTTTTGTCAACTTACACTCAATATTATTGATAAAAAAGGATTTACTCCTGCTATGTTATTGTTTTCTGTTTGTTTTGGCATCTTCTCATCTTTCTTTTATTCCTTTATTGAAGATGATTTTCTCTGGTTGTATGATTTAATTTTCTGCTTTTTATTTTGTTGTTTATCTGTTGTATGTTCATTGATTTGAGTTACCGTGAAGCTTGCAAATACTATTGTATAACCCACTATTTTAAATTGATGACAACTTAACAGTGATTGCATAAACAAACAGGCAAAAGGAAACTACTAAAAACTCTAGGTTTTAATCTTGTCCTCCAGCTTCTTAACTTTTTTTGTTTCTCTTTAAGTTTTTTGTACTATCTATGTCTTCAAAAGTTATTGTAGTTATTATTTTTGATTGGGTTCATCACTTAGTCTTTCTACTTGATAAGAGTAGTTTACACACCACAATTACAGTATTATAATATTCTGTATTTTTCTGTGTGCTCACTATTACCAGTGAGCTTTACACTTTCAGATAATTTCTTATTGCTCATGAACAACCTTTTCTTTCAGATTGAACAAATGTTTTTAGCATTTCTTGTAGGACAGGTCTGTTATTGATGAAATCATTCGGCTTTTCTTTGACTGGGAAAGTCTTTTTTTTTCCCTTCATGTTTGATAGATATTTTCACTGGATATACTCTTGTAGGATAAAAGTTTTTTCTATCAACACTTTAAATATGTCTTGCCATTCCCTTTTTGCCTGTAAGGTTTCCACTGAAAGTCTGCTGCCAGACATATTGGAGCTTCATTGTATGTTATTTGTTTCCTTTCTCTTGCTGCTTTTAGAATCCTTTTTTTATTCTTGACCTTTGGGAGTTTGATTATTAAATGGCTCAGAGTAGTCTTCTTTTGGTTAAATCTGCTTGGTGTTCTATTTGTTTGGTGCAAAAGTAATCACGGTTTTTGACATTAAAAGTAATTACTTTTGGCAATTAAAAGTAATTACCACAATTACATTTGCACCAACGTAATATAACCTTCTTGTACTTAAATGTTGATATCCTTCTCTCAGTTTGGTAAGTTCTCTGATATTATCCCTTTGAATAAACTTCCTGCCTCTATCTCTTTCTCTTCCTCCACTTTAAGGTCAATAACTCTTAGATTTGCCCTTTCGAGGCTATTTTCTAAATCTTATATGCGTGCTTCATTCTTGTCTGTTCTTTGTTCTTTTGCCTCCTCTGACTGTATTTTTAAGTAGCCTGTCTTCAAGCTCATCAATTCTTTCTTCTGCTTGATCAATTATACTGTTAAGAGGCTCTGATGCATTCTTTAGTATGTCAATTGTACCTTCCCCTTCCTTCCTTCCTTCCTTTCTCCATCCCTCCCTCCCTCCCTCCCTCCCTTCCTCCCTTCCTTCCTTCCTCTCTCTCTCCCTTTCACTTTCTCTTTCCCTTTCTCTTTCTCTCTTTTTTCTTTTTCTTTTTTTTTTTTTGACAGAGTCTCAGTCTATCACCCAGGCTGGAGTGCAGTGGTGCAATCTTGGCTCACTGCCTCACCCTGTCACCCAGGTTGGAGTGCAATGGCGCAATCTTGGCTCACTGCAACCTCTGCTTCCCAGGTTCAAGTGACTCTCCTGCCTCAGCCTCCCGAGTAACTGGGATTACAGGTGCACACCACCACGCCTGGCTAATTTTTGTATTTTTTAGTCAAGATGGGGTTTCACCATGTTGCCCAGGCTGGTCTTGAACTCCTGACCTCAGGTGATCTACCTGCCTTGGCCTCCCAAAGTGCTGGGATTACAGACATGAGCCACTGCACCCAGGAATCAAATGTATTTTTCGACTCTAGAATTACTTCTTGATTCTTTTGATTTTTTCAATCTCTTTATTAAATTTATCTGATAGAATTCTGAATTCCTTCTCTATGTTATCTTGAATTTCTTTGAGTTTCCTCAAAACGGCTATTTTGAATTATCTATGTGAAAGGTCACATATCTCTGTTTCTCCAGGATTGATCCTGCCTTAGCTCATTTGGTGAGGTCATGTTTTCCTGGATGGCCTTGATGTTCAGAGATGTTTGTCAGTGTCTGGACGTTGAAGAGTTAAGTATTTATTTTAGTGTTTACAGTCTGGGCTTGTTTGTGCCCATATTTTTGGGGAAGGCTGGGCTACTGTCATAGTGGCAGCCTTTTTGCTTTCTTCTTTGGCCCCCTCTCAGCTGCTAATGTCTATCTAACTACCTAACATAACCACTACCTGCCTACCACCTATGTTCACTCAAGGCCCTAGGGCTCTACAATCAGCAGGTGGAGAAACCAGCCATGTTTGTGTCATTCCCTTCAGGGGGTGAGTTCCCCCAGGCCCTGGCTGGACCCAGAGAAGCTGTCTGGGATCCAGGGATTAGAGTCAAGTATCTTAGAAATCTACCTGGTACTCTATTTTGCTGCGGCTAAGCTGGCTGTCAAACCACAAGTCAGAATCCTTCCCTCCTTTTCCTCCCTTTTGACTGTCAGAGGAGCCTCTCTCAGTGGCCACCATCACTACTGGCTCACAGGGAGTTCTTCAAGGCCAACGCTGATGTCCCTTTAAAGCCCAAGAATCAGCTTGTGATAAATGCTGCCAGGCCTGTGACTCACCCTTCAAGGCAGTGGGCTCCCTTCTGGTCCAAGACAGGTCCAGAAATAATGTCCAAGAGCCTAGGCTTGGACTCTGATACCCTAAGAGCTCACTCAGGTACCATAAGCGCTCCACCCCACTATGGCTGAGCTGGTACATAAGATTCAAGACAAAGTCATCTTTCCTTTGCCCTCTGCCCTTCTCAAGCAGAAAGATTATTTTATCATAGCCACTACAGCTAGGAATGTGCTGGATCTCTCCTGAAGCCAACACAACTCAGTCTCATCCAAGGCCCATGGCATATTACCTGGGTATCACTGCCAGTTATTCAGGACTCAAAAGTTCTTTCGTCATCGAGTGATGAGTCCTGCCACGACTGGGGCCTTCCTTTCAAGGCAGCGGGTTCCCTTCTGGCTGAAGTTATTCTAGAAATGTCATCCCGGAGCAAAGGCCTAGATTGGAGGCCTCATGAATTTGCCTGGTGCCCTATTTGATTGTGGCTGAGCTGTTAAAAGTCCTGTTTATTTTTTCTCTCCTCTCTAACAGAAGGAAGGAGTCACTTTCATTGCCACCAGCTATGCTGCCTTGGGTTGAGGGAAGGGTGGTGCAAGAACTTCCTTAGCTGACCCCACTGGTGTCTCCCTAGGTCACATGCCACCCTAGTCCACTGGCTGTAATCCCAGCCTAGAATTAGGATTTGCCTGGGAATTTTAGTCCTTGTGTTCTAGGCTCCCTTTCAAGTTTACCTAGGACCCTAGAGCCCTTTAGCCAGAGATGGTAAGGCTTGCTGAAACTCAGGTTCCAACTGCTGGGATGGATGACTCCCCTCCAGCTAGGGCTGGTCCAAATGCTACCTCCATGTGTGGGCACTGACTGAGCCCTGCATGATTTTGCTCTCTGCTGTGACAGGGCAGCATTTAGTTCAGTGCCAAGTCCCCCAGTCACTGTGCTCTTCCTCCCCCAAGTGCACAGATTCCCTCTCCACACCATACAGCTGCTGCAGGGGTATGGGGGAGGGATGTAATCAGCGATTTATGACTGTCTCTCCCACCCTCTTCAGTGCCTCTTTTAGTGATATGAAGTTAAAACCAGGTACTGTAATTGCTCACCTAATTTTTGGTTCTTATGATGGTGCTTTTTTTGTGTGTAGTTAGTTGTTAAAATTTGGTGTTTCTGCAGGAGGGACAATCAGTAGAGGCTTCCATTCTACCATCTTGTTCCACCTCTATTGTGATTTTTGATGAGAATATGGAATAACTAAATTAAGCTGATTAGCATACCCATTACTTCAAATATTTTAACTTTTGTGTGATAAGCATATTAGACGGTTACTTTCTAGCAATATTGAAATGTACAGTACTCAGTTATTAGCTGTATTTAGCATGTTGTGCAATAGATCTCAAAATAAAATCAGATTTATTTATTCTATCTAATTGAGCCTTTGTATGCTTTGACTATTATCTTCTGATTCTCTTCACCATTCAGTCTTTGGTAATCATGATTCTACTGTCTGTTTCTGTGATTTCAGTTGTTTTAGATTCCACATGTTAGTGACAATATGTGGTATTTGTTTTTCTGTATTTGACTTATTTCCCATAACATAATGTTCTCTAATTCTGTCCATATCATCACAAATGACATAATTTCTTCCTTTTTAAGGGCTGAATAGTATTCCATTGTATGTATATGTATATATATGTATGTATGTATGCATATATATTTTTTCTTTATTCATTTTCTTTATTTATCCATCCCTTGATGGACATGCAGGTTGATTCCATAACTTAGCTATTGTGAATAGCGCTGCAATGAACATGGGACTACAGCTAACTCTTCAACATAATGATTTCAAATCTTTCAGTTAAATACCCAGAATCAGAATTGCTGGGTCAAATAATATTATATTTTTAGTTTTTTTGAGTGATCTTTATACTTTCTCTTTCATAATGTTTATACTAATACACTTTCCTATCAATAGCATGTAAGGGTTCCCTTTTCTCCACATCCTCACCAACACTTGTCTTTTCTCTTTTTGATAACAGATTTAACAAATGTAAAGCGATATCTCATTGTGTTTTTAATTTGCATCTCCCTAATGATTAGAAATGTTGAACATTTCTTCATGTATCTGTTAGCTATTCAGATGTCTTATTTTTAGAAATGTGTTTCTTGCCCATTACTTAATTAGATTATTGGTTTTCTTTCTGAGAAAGTTTGTTTGAATTTCTTATATATTTTGGATATTAATAGCTTATCAGATATATGGCTTACAAATATTTTCTCCCAATCCATAGATTGTCTCTTCACTGCTGTTTTCTTTGATGTGCAGTAGCTTTTTATTTTGATATAATCCCGTTTGTCTTTGTTTCTATTGCTTGAGTTTTTGGAGTCAAGTCTAAAAAATCATTGCCCAGACCAAAGTCATGTAGTTTTTTCTCCTATGTTTTTTTTTCCTACGAATGTTATAGATTTGGGTCTTATGTTTCAATCTGTAATCTATTTTGAATTGAGTTTTGGATATCGCATAAGATAAGTGTCCAATTTCATTCTTTTGCAGGCTGTCTTTTCTGAAAGCTTTCTGAATAAGTGTAGAACATGAAAACAGGCCCCGTCTCATAAGCAGCCCCCAGTGTTTGAGGAGCAAAGTGCCCTGTCTTCTGGTTGGAAAGCTTCCTTCCTCTGTGAGCCGGGGTTCAGAGGACATATGCATATGTATGGGGGGGGAGGTGGATACAAAGTTTGCCTGCCTTTTTTTTCTTCATATATTCTCTCTTTATGATTTGAATCCTTATTATGATCTGAGCTGCAGTTGTGATAGTTTTTGGTTGTTTTAGTGCCACTCTTCACTTCTGTCTTGTAACTATTAAGACACCTTCTAATGTTATTATTATACTGCTTTTTTGTGGGCTGAGTTTTTAATTCTATGGGCATTTTAGGGAAATATTAGAAATGTCATTCCTTAATGACATCTAAGGTTGGAAGTTAGAGCTTTGGTTTTGAATAATAAATCCGATAAGATAAAGTGTGAATCACCATGGGCAAAAACTCTTCTTTTCTTCAGATATCTAGGCAAGGGACCATGGGGAATGAAACAAAGAGAAGAGCTGAGGAGTTAAAGAAGCAGAAATGACATATGCAAACATAGATTGGGTACCATAGAACCTAACTCTTGACCAGGGCCAGTGAAAAAAATAGAATCAAATATAATTCTGAAGTAGAGATGTTTGAGTCAGGATTTTCTGAAGAGTGACATGTTAATAAGCAACAGAGAACATGAAAAAGGAACCACTGGGGGACTAGATGCTGTCTTTACTTTTAGATGTTATTATTTTATTTTTTGGTGTTTGTTACATGTTCAAAGGTACATATGCATCCTGAAACTGAAAGGCATAAAGTTGTGATTTTGATATAATTTGTTACCTGTGAATACGGTAGATGGTTGCCAAAATTATGTAGCATAAATAATATAAACATGTGGTATCATCCTCTGTAATGATACTAATATGTTGTGATTTCCAAAAAGAATGATGATGCCTTATAGCTTTGAGTTATTACATATATGTATGTGTGTATATATATATATATGTCTGTGTATCTACATATATATATTATGTGTGTATATATATTTATATATATGTCTTGTGATATTGCTTTAGCATTTGCATTTGGCATGATCATTTAAAATATTTTTAAATATGCAATGCATGGCCATGGTATAAATATCCAGGCTATAAAAAGGTACAGTCAAGGTGTGTCAAAGTCACTGAAAGGTATAGTTTTCCCCAGTCATGCAGCATTTCTCTTCACAGATTTCTTGTTTAGTTTTGTGTACCTTCTATGTGTAGATTTGTGTTACAGTGAGAAGGAGTTGTTCTTCAGCACATTCTTTCCAATTTCTAAATAATAATTGGTCATTGTTTGCTCATCTGTGAGGTCAGTTTGGGTTATTTATATTTCCTGAAGAAAGAGAGGGTTAAAGGCTAGGGTGGAAAAGTATTGGGTACCTAGTCGGAGTAGGGAAATGTGTCATTAAGGTTCTCCCTTGCTCCTCCCATGATGAGGTCTCAGCAGAGATGATGAAGGACTCAGATAAAGAGATAAGAATGAAGTCACCTGGGCTAGAAATGCCAATACATGTAAGAGCATGCCTGGCCAAAGGAGCCTGAGACCTTGACTGGGACTTCTCTCAGAGACTTCAGTGTGTTGGCTGTGCACCAAGTCTCATAGAGGAAGGGCAACTTTCCCCCATGAGGCCTGTCAGGTACAGATTTTGTAATGGCCTGTGGTCAGGCCTGAAAAGTTGCATAAGTCTTTAATTGGAAGCAAGACTCCTCAAATCCCCCCACCCCAATCATGTTTAATTATATCCGTGTATGGTCTAGCTTTTGTTGTTTTTGTTTACTGCTTGTGTGTGTGTGTGTGTGTGTGTGTGTGTGTGTGTGTGTGTGTGTTTTGCATGGCCTCATCTTTCTTCCTATAATTTGGAGGATTTCTAGCCTGTGTTTAGCTTCTGTGGTTTCCTCTACAAATATAACTCTATATAATGCTTGGTTTCCTACTTCTTTACAGGGACTATATTAACTCTTCAGTATAAACAATAGCAAAGTTATTTAGTATATTCCTAACTCCACATGTCATCTCCTCTCTTTCTTTTTAAATAGATCTCCTTTCATCTTTTTCCCTCTAGCTTTTTTCTTTTGGGAAAGCATCATGGCATGAGACTAGAAGTGAGACTTGGACCCACAGCCAGAGGTTCTGGGTGCAACACATCTCTCAGATCTAATCTAGCACATTGATTTGGTCCAATGTAACTGTCATATATGGTCCTGAATTCTGTCCCCTTTAAATCTGTAAAATAATAATAACCTCAATTTATCCATGTCTTTTTTTTTTTGAGGTAAAATACATTAGAATCTCTGAAAGACACTGACAGATTTAAAGAATGGTATAAAACTGAGGCATTATCATCTTATGGCTACTGGTTATCAACAGCTTATTAACAAAAAAATGAAGCTCTTTTTTCTGATAGCTGTAGTTTCAACTTTTTTTTTAATAATAATGATTCTTAGTGTATTTTGACACATAATATGGTAAAGTAACCTGTGCTCACATAGGAATTTGTTTTTAATATCACTTTAGGAAAATAAAAATCTTAGTAAGTTTACCTTCCCTTGCTTAAATATCTAAAAATATCAGCCAGGTAGAGAATAGTTGTACTAACATTCTCAATCTATCAATATCTTGTAAATAGTAAAGTTTTGGTATTTCTTTATATAAAAATTTCTTATATAATTAAAAAGTTAAATAGATTAGAAAATACGTTAGAAAAATTTGAAATACTAAAGTTTAAAAACCTCCCTGACAATATCTATTATGGAATTAATAATGCATTTAAAATTTTTGAATCTACATATATTTGGAAAATAATACAAATATGTGTAAGCTATATTACAGACAATTGTTATGTGAATTAGTGGCTCTCATATTTACTATCCGGAATCTGTAAAATTTAACAGTGACTTGCTTGATCTCTAACACTAACTTTGTGGAAGAATTAGATTTGGTAAAGGAGTTCTAAGAAAACTGGAACTGTATTGTTTTCTGGATAGTTTTTAAAACTGAACCTGTGTGTGTCATAAATTAAGACACCAAATGAAAGAAACATTAAATGAAAAGTCTGAGTGACTGCGGAAACGGTGATAAACATAAGCCACCATTTGTTCTTTAAAAACATGTCTTTGATATATTAGTCTTTTCCTCCAATAAATTATTAAGTGGGAAGATTGGCAGCTGCTATGAACAGAGCATGTGTGTAATTTAATGAGCTTTTTTTTTTTTTTTTTTGCCAGTAGTTTATAACATTTTCTTCATGGGCAAGAACAAAAAAAAAAAATCTCAGGAGTATGAAAATATAATTGTGTGTTAATTTTTCTGTTTTGAAAAGATGTAACTTAATCAGATTTGTGACGTCTCCCTCAGCCAAGCACAAAGGAATAAAATGAATAAAAATCATTACTGAAGTCCCGAAATGAATGACTGTTTTCTCTTATGTTGCAATTGTAGTGATGTTTAAATACCAATCTGAAATACCCGAGAGAACTTCAACTTGTATTAGAGGGTTATATAGGTGTGTATGTGTGTGTGTACCTTTAAACCGGGGGGATAAACTTATTCTACCTTTCAAAGAAGATAAGGCCGGGCGTGGTTGCTCATGTGTGTAATCCCAGCACCCAGACTCCATCTCAAAACAAAACAAAACAAAACAAAAACAAAAACAAAGAAGAAGGTAAAAACATATTCCTAATCCATATGTAAGAAACAAATCAGCATGAGAGCATCGTAATCTTTCTAAAACAATGTCAAGCTGTCATGGAGTGTATGCTCCCTGAAGCTGTCTTTGGATTCAGTTTCTTTGGTTTTGGTCACAGGCTCAGGGCCTTCTCCTAACAAACACATGGCCCATGTTTAAGAGCTAACAAGACCAACAGACAGGAGCCTGTGACATTCCTGTTAACACACAAAAACAATTCAGATATTCAGGATCCAGTCACTTGATGAAAGGGCAGGTGGTAAACTGGGGGTTAACCTTCCTATAAAGTATGGCCAGTGGCAGTAGAGAATCCAGCAGTTTGGAAGCAAATGAATTTAAAATACTATCTGGAAAGCAAATCAAATCAGGACCATTGAGCTGTTCTTTCTTGACTCTCATTGACCTACTTTCACGGTTTACAGACTGCTGATAATATAAAGGAAATTAAATGCCTGCAGTGAGAAGGTTCTTGATCTGGCAAAGACCCCTCAGAGTGCTCCAAACATTTTATTTAATTTCCAAAATTTCTTGATCTGTTATGTCATTAAATAAAGGGGGAGAAACAGCTAGTCAGCATGCATCATGATAAAAGCCACTTGAAGCTCACTTTTCTGTCCCACCCAGGACTAAAAAATGTCTTGCCTTTCCAAGTGGTGCTGAAGCGTAAAGCATACAGTTATGACTTTCACTGCTAGGTTGAGATAACTGAAATGCAAGTGCATGGAAACCGTAAAATGGATGTGAGCATTTTCTAATAATATCAATATGATTGACAGTGATTTTGATTAAGGAGATGTTGGTTAGCATCTCACAGAGATAGATTAGAAGATTTATATAGATGAGCTCACTTCTTCTAGGTCAGTCAGAATGAGCTCTGGTTTAGATAATAAGCTCTTGCCTTGCTGAAAGGCTTTATTATCATATGACCTCCTTTTGTATGCAAATCTGCACAAGGCTGTACCCACTTAGTGCTTCCATCTGGATTATAAGAAGACACCATGGAAAATGGGTCCTGTTCACTTAAACTGAGTTGTCAGGTTGGTCTTCGTAGATCCTTATTTGCCCCCAAAATTCACATAAAGAAATTTAGCTATTCACAGAGCAGCAGGTATTTAAGCCAATAAAATAGAGCATGGGAAATCACAGTACAGTTTGACTTAACATGTCTTTAAAATGCTATTTGAGTACTGACCTCTACTGTGGTTTAGCACACTCTGGATCTTCTCCGCAAACATTCTACCGAACTACTTATAGTGATAGACACATCACTGCTTAATAAAATCTAAAGAATTGATAGATATGCTGTGTGCAAAAGTTGAGTGAGGTGATTCCCACTAACTGCAAAGCAACTGCAACCATTTTAATTGTACGGCACACAGAAGATACCCTGCTCTGAAAGTGGAAGTAAAGGTTCTTCATTTGTTTTCATTATGAAGTCATGCCCTTAGTTTAAAAATATAATCTAAGTAATTAAAAATTAGGCAGCTGTCATTGAACTGGATGACGGGTTGCTTTGAAGGCAGAAAGACCTTTTCCATTGTTGAATCCCTGTGTTCGCAGAGTGCTGTATTTCCTGTTTTGAAGTAGAAAGATACTGAGTAGAAAAAAATGAGTATGGGCCTTGGGCAGTGCAGAGGCTGCAAGGGTGCTGGGGTCATTGGACAATGCAAAGAATATCTGAATATGTATTCCATATCTTTATATGTTTTAGAACATTTAAAATATATATTATATGGCTTTACATTGTTAGGGAGCTCATTGAGATTGGGGAGTAGTTGGTAGGAGACCATCCAAACACATTCTATCAGAACTTATATAAAACCTTTTTTAGACATGAACATTTGTGCTAGGTGATTAATTAATGTGTGGAGATTACCAACAAATTTTAAAATATCAACTTAAACATTGAGTATATAATACTCATAAATCATAAATATATGGGTTGATGAACTTTTATAGTATTAGCATACATGTAACTATCATCAGGAGAGAGACCTTTGGCAGACCCCCAAGAAACTCCTTTCATGACCCTATCTAAACCAAAGATAAACACTGTTCTGGCTTTTATTAGCATAGGTTAGTTTTACTTGTTTGTGAATTTTATATAAATGAGATCATACAGTTTATATTTTTACATGAGCGATTTTTTCCTATAAAATCATATTTGTAAAATGCTTCCATATTGTCACATGTTGCAATAGTTTTATTGTCATTAATAATGACAGATATTTGTTAGGAACAATCCCCAATACGTATATGAATGAAATTGCCTCCATAGAGCATGTGTGTGTTTAGCTTTTGTAAATACTGGTAGTGTTTTGGTTAACTAAGACATAATTCACATACTATCAAACTTATAATTTTTTAAATGCAACAATTCAGTGATTTTTACCATATTCATAAAGCCATATGATGATTTCCACTAACTCTAGAACACTTTCATTACTTTGAAAAGAAACCCTATACCAATTAACAATCATTCTCCATTGCGTCCCCCCATTGTCAACCATTAATTTACTTTCTATCTCCATGGATTTGAGTATCCTGGAAATTCCATATAAATAGGTTCATACAATAACTTCCTTTTATCTCAAATTCTTTTCCTGTTTTATCATAAAAGGGTATTGAATTTTGTCAAATTCTTTTTCTGAGTTTAATGAGATGTGTGGTTTTTGCACTTTATTCCATTAACATGGTATAGATGATTGGTAGAATCAACAAATAATTAATTTTATATATTAAACTAACTTTGCATTCCTGGAATAAATTACACTTGAGCATAGTGCCTACTTCTCTTTATATGGGCTGGATTTGATTTACTTGTATTCTGTTGAGGATTTTTAAACATCTATTTATAAGAAATAATGTTATATAGTTTTCTGTCATGTCTTTAGTTGTGGTATCAGGGTGATACTGACCTTATGTAATTAGCTTGGGAATTTTTTTTCTCTTCTACTTTTTGAAATAGTCTAGAAGCATTAGTATTAATCCATTTTTAAATATTTGGTAGAACTCACCAGTGAAACCATTTGGTAGTGGGCTTTTATTTATGAAAAGGTTTTTTGGCATTGTTTTTATTGTTTTTATTATTATTATTACTAATTCAGTATCTTTATTTGTGGATCTGTTTAGATTTTCTTTTTCTCATTTGGTCACTTTCAGTATTTTCTGTCTTTCTAGGAATTTGTCCGTGTTATCTAAATTTCTTAGGATTTTGGCATACGAATATTTAGACTATTAAAAAATTTTCCATTTCTTTAAGATTGGTAGAAATATTTTATTTCTTATTTTAGTAATTTTAATATTCTTGTTCCCTTTTGTTGGTCATTGTAGCTATGAGTTTGTAGATTTGATTGACCTTAAAGAATCAAGATTTGATTATGATTATTTTCTTTATTATTTCTTCCCTATTTTATTTATTTCTGCTCAAATCATTATTTTTTTATTCTGTTTTCTTTAGGTTTAGTTTGCTTTAGTTTTTCTAATTTCTTAATGTAAATGGCTAGGTTATTGTTCTGACATCTACCTTTTTAAAAAATAATACAGATATTACAGCTGTATCTTCTCTTTATGTACCTTTTTAGCTGAATACCATGTTTTGATATGTTGTGTTTTTGTTTTCATTCATCTCAAAGTATTTTTTCATTTTCCTTTTGATTTCTTCTTTGACCCATTGGTTATGAAATAGTATGTTGTTTAATTTCTACACATTTGGAATTTCCCAAAGATTGCTTCTGTATTGATTTTTAATTTTAGTCCATTGTAGTCAAAGAACATACTTTGTATGATTTCAGTCCTTTTCACTTACTGAGTTTTTTTGTTTGCTTGTTTGTTTGTTTGTTTTTTGATGGAGTGTTGCTCTTTCACCCAGGCTGGAGTGCAGTGGCATGATCTCGGCTCATTGCAACCCCCACCTCTCACGTTCTAGTGATTCTCCTGCCTCAGCCTTCCAAGTAGCTGGGAATACAGGCATCTGCCACCATGGCCAGCTAATTTTTGCATTTTTGGTAGAGAGTGTTTTTCATCATATCGGGCAGGCTGGTCTTGAACTCCTAACCTAAAATGGTCTGCTCACCTTGGTCTCCCAAAGTGCTAGAATTACAGGCTTGCGCTACTGCACCCAGCTAATAAGTCTTTTTATTTGTTTGTTTGTTTTTTTAATAGCCAAACACTTGTTCTATTCTGGAGAATTGCTTCTATATACATTTGAGAAGAATGTTCAGTCTGCTCTTTTTGGATGGAGAGTTCTAAGTCTCTATAGTCTCTTAGGTCTAGTTATCTTGTTGTATTGTTCCAATCTCCTATATTTTTGTTAATCTTCTAGCATAGTTATTCTATTAAATATTGAATATAGTGTATTGAACTTGTTCTATTGTTGAATTGTCTATTTCTCCCTTTAATGCTGTCAGCATTTGCTTTGTGTGTTGTGTGGCTCTGTTCTTAATTTCATGTTTTTATGATTAGTCTGTCTTCCTAAGGAATTGACCCTTCTATTGTTATAAGATGTTTTTCTTTGTTTTTAGTAACAATATTTTCTTCAAGTCTATTTTGTTATATATTAGTAGAGTCACCTCAGCTCTCTTTTGGATACTGATTTCATTGTATATCTTTTTGCATCCTCTTTTTTTTTTTTTTTTTTTTTTTGAGATGGAGTCTCACTCTGTCGCCCAGGCTGGAGTGCAGTGGCGCAATCTTGGCTCACTGCAAGCTCTGCCTCCCAGGTTTACACCATTCTCCTGCCTCAGCCTCCCAAGTAGCTGGGACTACAGGCGCCTGCCACCACGCCTGGCCAATTTTTTGTTTTTTAGTAGAGACGGGGTTTCACCATGTTAGCCAGGGTGGTCTTGATCTCCTCACCTCGTGATCCACCCGCCTCGGCCTCCCAAAGTGCTGGTATTACAGGTGTGAGCCACCGCACCCAGCTGCATCCTTTTACTTTCAAACTATTTGTGACTTTGATTCTAAAGTGTATATTTTATAGACAGCATACAGTTGGATAATTAAAAAAAAATCCAGTCTGCCAATCTATGAATTTGTTAAATGGTAGAATTAATTGATAATTATGTGGTAATTACATTAAATGTAAATGAGCTAAATAATCTAATTATTGAGATGGTAAAATTGGTTTCCACCATTTTACTATTTGTTTTCTATATTTCCTCTATATTTTTCATTCCTCTGTTCTTCTATTACTGCCATCTTTTGTGCTAAATAAGTATTTTCTAACATACCACTTTAAGTCCTTATTGTGTTTTTTTGCTATATATATTTTTGAGTTATTTTCTTAGCAGTTTTCCTGGGGATTGCAACTAACATCTTGAGTTAAAATTCTCTAATTTAGATTAATACCAACTTAATTTCAATAGTTTATAAAATTGTGTTTCTACATAGCTCCTCTCCCATTTATGCTATTATTATTACAAATTACATTTTTAGAGATTGTGTGCTCATCAGCATTGATTTTTAAATTATTCTATTATGGAAATGCATTTAACTAAAACAGAAAAAGGAATTACAAGAAACACGTACATTTATCTTGTCATTTATATTTCTTTATATGGTAATCTTAACCAGTGCTTTTTGTTTTATTTCATTATGTGGATTCATGTTACTGTTAGTACTTTTCATTTCAGCTTAAAGACTTCATTTAGTAATTTTGAGGCAGTTCCACTGTCAACAAACTCTCTCAGTTTTTGTTGAGCTGTGAATATCTTAATCTCTCATTAAATTTTAAAAGATAGTCATTTCTTCTTTATTTCTTCTTTACTGTAGAATTCTAGGCTAGCTTTTTTTTTTTCTTTTAACCTTTTGACACTTTGTGTATGCCATCCTATTGTGTTCTGGCCTCTGTGATGTCTGTTAAGAAAGCAGCTATTAACCTTCCTGGAGATTCTTTTTACACTATGAGTCACTTCTCTCATTGCCATCATGATTCTCCCTTTGTCTGAAGTCTTTGACAGTTTGATTATGATTTGTCTAGGTATAGATTATTTTGTATATATTATACACATAAGGATCTCATTCCTGAATATATACAACATTATTATTTTCTTTCAATCTTTATAACTTTCTTTTTCTTGCCTTATTGCACTGGCCAGCACTGGCATTATAATGTTGAATAGAAGAGGTGGTAATGGGGACCTTACTTTTGTTTTTGATATGAAAGGGAAAACTTTAAATATTTTATGATTAACATAGGCTGGGTGCAGTGGCTCATGTCTGTAATCCCAGCACTGTGGGAGGCCGAGGTGGATGGATCACTTAAGGTTAGGAGTTCAACAGCAGCCTGCCCAACGTGGCAAAACCCCATCTCTACTAAAAATACCAAAAAATTAGCTGGGCCTGGTGGCACACGCATGTAATCCCAGCTACTTGGGAGGCTGAGGCATGAGAATCATTTGAATCCTGGAGGCAGAATTTGCAGTGAGCCGAGACCGTGCCAATGCATTCCAGCCTGGGTGATGGAGTGAAACTTTGTCTCAAATAAAATAAAATACATATTTTATTATTAACAGAAATATATAGCTTTTATGGACTTGGCATACATTTTAAAATCAGATTAAGAAAGTTCTTTTATATTTTCCTTTCTAGCTCAATTTTTGACTTTTATTTATTTATTTTTATAAAGAATATATTTAGAGACAGGGTCTTGCTCTGTCACCCAGGCTGGAGTACAGCAGCATGATCATAGCTCACCACAGCCTCAAACATCTGGGCTCACATAATCTTTCTGCTTCAGCCTTCTAGTAGGTGGGACTACATGCCCAGCTATTTTTATAAGCAATAATTTTAACATTTTACTATTTTTTCTCACCTTTTCTTTATACTCTTAGTATATTATGTGACATTAAATAATTTTTAAATTTTATTTAAAAAATATTGAATTCATGGATAAAGTTGACTTGGTCAAAATTTAATACCCCTTTTATATATCACTTGATTTAATTGGGTAATAGTTACTAAAATTTTGTGGTGATTATTATATGAAATTATCTTGTGAATTTTACTTATTGTAACACATTTGCCAGGTTTAATTGTCAAGGAATAATGGCCTCAGTAAGTAACTTGAAAATTGTTTCCAGCCTGTTTTCCAGAATAGTGTATGATCCATGTAATTTTTACATAGATGTTTCAAAGAATGCCCTAATGAAAGCATTTGGGTCTAAATTTATCAAAACAATTTTAATTAATGATTCAATTTCGTTTTACATGTAGAAATTTTTAGGCTTTCTATTTCTTCCTTTTCTTGGTTTATTATGTTTTAAGGGATTTTTCTATTCCATCTAAATTATTCCATTTCTATGCAGAAATTTGGTGCATAATATACTAAAATTTTATTTTTAATATCTATCTTAAGTGATGTTAGTATTCCTGATACTGGTATTTTGTATCAAATTATATTAATGTTTCTATTCATTACTATGTTTAAAGTACTCTGTTACTGTCTTAATTTTGCTTATTATAACTTTCCAGTTATAAAATTTTTATTTGATTTTTTAAACAGATTTCAATTTTCTAGTATAATTCACCTCTTTTTCCTCTTTTTTGTTCATTTATTAATTAAACTATGTTAAAGTCTATGTCTGATAACTCCAATATCTATATCACTTGTGGGTTTATTTTTATTTTATTTGTTTTTTATCTTATTTATTTATTTTTTTAAGTGGTATTCCTGGTGTATTCATTTTCTAGGACTACTGTAAAAATATACCACTGTCTGGGTGCAGTGGCTCATGCTTGTAATCCCAGTGCTCTGGGAGGTTAAGATGGGAGGATCATTTGAGGCTAGGAGTTTGAGACCAGCCTGGGCAACATAGCGAGACTCCATCTCCACAAAACAGAAACAAAACAAAACAAAACAACAACAGCAACAACAAAACATTTAATTAGCCAGGCCTGATGGTGCATATATGTAGTCTGAGCTACTTGGGAGGCTGAGGTGGGAGGATTGCTGGAGCCCAGGAGTTCGAGGCTGCAGTAAGCTATGATTGTACCACTGCACTCCAAGCTCAGCTACAGAGTGAGACTCCATCTCAAAGCAACAACAACAAGAACAACAACAGAACACAAACTTAGTGGCTTAAACCAGGAAAATTTATTCTCTCATGGTTCTAGAGGCTTGAACTCCGAGATCAAGCTGTTGCCATTAGTTCCTTCTGATTGCTGTGGGGAAGGGATCTGCTACAGCCCTGTCTCCTTGGCTTATAAAGGACCATCTTCTCTCTGTGTGTTTATATAGTCTTCCCTCTATATATGTGTCTGTGTCCACATTTTCCTTTTTTTAAGGACATCAGTCATACCAGATTAAAGCCCACCATAGTAGCCTCATTTGGATTTGATTTTCTCTGTGACATTTTATCTTCAAATAAGGTCATATTCCAAGGCATGGGGAGTTAGGACCCCAATATTATTATTATTATTACTATTATTTTGGATGGGACACGATTCAACCCATAACAACTGATAAATTTTGATTAAATGAAAATATTTAGAGTCTCTGGATGATTCTGTTTTACTTCAAAGAGAATTCTCTTTAGCTTTGATATGGAATTAGAATAGATAAAATTATCTCAGAAAATGGGATGATCTTACTAAATACGTTTTTTAAAGGGCTTGTCTATTTTTACATTTCCGGAGGCTTCACTGTTCAATGGCCCTGACTGAAAGCCACGTTCATTTGCCAGAGTCCCAACACCTGAATGTCTGCTTAATGACAGTTTCTGTTATCCCAGCTGGTTATTCCAGGTTTGTTATAAATTTGATAGGTTTAGTTACTTTTTAGATTCTTAGATTTGTGTCTTGATTTCCCTCTTCAATTATAGACCTGCATTACTCATACATTAATGAACATCTCAAGCATGAGACACCTAGAGTTACAGGGTTTTTCTTACTTTCTTCCCCCTGGGATATTGGCCTCTCAAGTCCTGTCTGCTCTGGTAGCCCTGAATCTCAATTTTTATCTCTTCCAAAGACTAATAACAGCTTTGCTTAGCTCCTCTGCCTTTTAGCCATCACTTTCTCCACAACATCATTACTTCTTCTTCCTCATTTTATATGTGTGACTAATATTTCGAGGAAAAACAAACAAAACACATGTCTCCTCTCAGTGAGTTTCTTCTTTTTGGGATTTGAATCTTTAATTCCTAGTCTTTAAATAGATTTTTCTGCATTTTATCCAGCTGTTCCATTGTTTTATGGGCTATTGAAAACAACTCCCATTTTAGCATCAATTTTGATAATAAAGCAAAAGGATAATATAGCACATGGATGGTATATTTGAAGCCACAGGTAATATATACATTAACATTTATAAATATTCCCCTATCCAGAAAATACTTGAAACTTGAGTTTCCAGTAGACATTTTTTTTTTGCATAACACATGTAAACATTTTATGGTACATACTTAGACTTAACATTTATTCATTGTCTATCTGAACTATAAACTTAAGTGGATATTTTGTATTTTTTTCTGGCAATCTTGCTCTCTTTAGAAGAATGCATAAACAATAATACACCAGAATAATTATGGTACAAAAGCTGATTGGAGCACTATGGAAAGATTCTAACTAAAAATTATACATGGATATTTTTATTATTTAAATATAAGGGAATGGTTTTTTAAAAGTTGATACTCTAAAGACTTAAAGGTTAAAATTTTATGACATAAGTGTGGAAACTTTCATGATAAATGTGCTAGCTGAATTTGAAAGATAGGAGAATATGGATGTAATAGAAACTAATGTAAAGGAAATTAAGTACCCAGTAGATCTTAAATTCTGTTTTCTCTTATATTTATCACATACAACAGAATTAAAAGTGCGGAATATTAAATTAGCGCTGCCAGTGATAAACTTGAGAAATTGTTCTACTGTGTAGATTAGAAGCCATTGACATGATGAGTAAGAGAATGGTATACAATGTAGAGGATGGAGAGATACATTTAAAATTTATAGCTTTTCCTGTGGGTCAGAGATGTGGAACATGAAAAAATGAAACAAAAACTCTACTGAAAAAGGTACTGAGTTGTGGCTTTTGGTACAACATTTAAAGAGCTTGCAAGTTGTCACTTTCATTTTCACAACAGGAAAATACCTTAAAAACTAAAAATTATCAACTCTTCTTAGATCCCTCAGAGATTTGAGGTCAGAAAGCAAACTGCTACCCCAGTACTAGAGAGACAGTCAGGGGACCCCCTACACCCATGGGTTCATATCCATGGATTCAACTAACTGTGCCACAAAATATTCAGAAAAAAAGGGATGATTCTGCCGGTACTGAACATGTACAGACTTTTCCTGTTGTTAGTATTCCCTAAAAAATACAGCATAACCACCGTTTATATAGCATTTACATTGCATTAGGTATTATAAGTCATCTAGAAATGATTTAAAGTATTTGGGAAGATGTATGTAGGTTATAAGCAAATTCTACAGTATTTTATATAAAGGACTTGAGCATCTGTGGATTTTTAGTATCCAAAGGGAGTCCTAGACCCACCCCCCATGGATATAGAAAAACGACTGTACTAGAAGGAAGCCCAGGACTGTGAATCAGGAGACCCAGAAGCAGAAGTCACCATATGAGGCCAGGATCAGTAGGAACACATCCGCTATAATCAAAAAGTGATGTAGGCTCAGTGTGGACTAACTTGAAAGTAGCCTTGGGGGCTCCTCACTGATGAGTATTACCTACAGGAACCCTACCAGATTCTCCATGTGAAGACAGGGGAAAAATCCTTTCGTGCTTTCAGCAGGAGTTAATTATATAGAAGTATGCCCAGACCTCTGTAAGCATTAGAAAGACCAGCCCAAAGGGGAAACTGCTTTTCCAGAGCCTAACTGACCTGGGAAAAGGGAAATGCCCAGCTCAGGCTCTAGAAGACTGAGACATGATTGTGGGAATATAGAACTCTTCCCCTCAACCAACTCCTCACCACCACATCAGTGGTGCTCCTGTGTAATAACCAGGGACTAAGAGAACTACAAGCCTCAGACTCTATTTAAGATGGAATCTCTAGGCAAACCCAAAGACAACTGGGTATAAACAGAAGGACACTAGAACTAACACCACTGAGACAGCCACCAGTAAGCACAATATAACTTCTAGTCAGATAAACTCAAACCTCACACTAAAAGCCCAAATAACAGCTTAACAATAAAGAAATAGACATCATCCAAACTATGCTGTCAAACCACAATGGAATTAAACTAGAAATAAAAAATAGAAGGATAGCTTTAGAAATCCCCAAATATTTGGACATTAAATAACCTATTTCTGGGTAACACACACGTTAAAGGAATCAGAAAAGAAATTACAAAAATTAAGCTTCAATGAAAATGAAATTTAAACCTATCACAGTTTGTGGAATACAGCAAAAGTTGTGCTTAAAGGAAAATTCATGGAATTTGATGCATCTGTTAGAAAAGATTAGAGACCTAAAATAGATAATCTAAGCTTATATGTTACTAAACTAGAGGGAGAGGAGCAAATTAAATTGAAAGTAAGTAGAAGAAAAGAAATGATAAAAATTAGTGGAGAAATCAATAAAATTATAAAAAGGAAAATAATAAAGAAAAATCAATGAAACTAAAAGCTGAAATCAATGAATTAAAAGATGAAATAAATAAAATTGATAAACTCCTAGTGAGATTATCCATGAAAAAAAGAAAATACAAATTACTAATATCAAAAACCAAAGATGTTATCCTTACTACTCTCATGAACATTAAAATATTAATAAGGAAATATTTTGAGCAACTCTATGCCCACATCTTTGATAACTTACTTGAAATGGGCCAATTCCCTGAAGACACAATTTACCCAAACACATACAAGGAGAAATAGACAATCCAAATAGGTATATATCATTGAAAGAAATTGAATCAATAACTAATGACCATAAAAGCAAAAGCACTAGACTTAGGTGATCTCACTGGTGAATTCTACCATTTAAGAAAGAAATGATATCAATTTACTGCAATGTCTTTTAGAAAATAGATACAGAACAATTATGGTTAACTGTTTTTATGAGGCCAGCATTATCATAATACTGAAACCAGACAAGGGCATTACAAGAAAGGAAAACTATAGCCTAGTATCTCTTATGAATATACATGCAAAAATTTTCAACAAAGTATCAAATTGAGTCTAACAATGTACGAAAAGAATTATATACTATGACAAAGAAGGACTTATTCCAGATAGGCAAGGTTCGTTCAATTTTTGAAAATCAATTAATATAATCCATTACAACAATAGAATAAAAGGAAAAGATGGTTTGATCCTATTAACAGATGCATAACAACATTTTTCACAAAAGCCAACACTTATTCATGATACTAACTCTCAGCAAACTAGGAACAGAAAGGACATTCCTCAACTTGATAAAGAACACTGTAATAAACCTTCAAGTGATATACTAAATCATGAGAAGCTAGCTACCTTTCTCCTAAGTTTGGGAACAAGATGTCCTCTCTCTCCATTCTTACCTCAATACTCTGCCAGCAAGCAGTCCTACGTAATGCAATAAGAGCAGAAAAGGGAGTTAAAATCACACAGATTGTGAAGGAATAAATAAAACTGTTATTGCTTATAGATGACATGATTATATATGTAGAAACTCCCAAAGAATTGTCAAAAAAATACTCCTAGAACTAATAGCCATTTATATCAAGGTTTCAGGATACAACGTTAATATAGAAAAGTCATGTTTCCCTATATATCTACAATGAATAATTGGAATTTGAAATTTTAAAAACATATCATTTACATTAACAATCCCCAAAATGAAATACTTAGCTATAAATCTAACAAATTATGTGAGGAAAACTACAAAATCCTAATGAAATAAATAGAAAAAGCTCTAAATAAATAGATATTCCATGTTTTGGGGTAGAAAAACTTAACATCAACAAGATATTGGTTCTTCCCAACCTGAATGTTAGGTTTAACACAACCCCAATCAAAATCCCAGTGTTACTTTGTGGATATTAACAAACTGATTTTCAAGTTTATGTGGAAAGACAAAAGATCCATGATAGGCAACACAGTATGGAAGAACAAAGTCTGAAGACTGACATTACCTGACTTTAAGATTTACTATAAAAGCACAGTAATTCCCAGAGATAGCCCCACATCAATACAGTCAACTGATATATGACAAAAGAACAAAGGCAACCATGTGGGCAAATAATCATCTTTGCAACAAATGGTGCCAGAACAAATGGACATCCACATGCCAGACAATGAATCTGGGCACTTAACTTATACCTGTGACAAAAATTAACTCCAAGTGGATCTATGACCTGATTGTAAAATACAAATTATAAAAGTTCTAGAAAATAACATAGGATAAAATCTAGGTGACCTTGGATGTGACAATGCCTTTTTAGAGACAATATCAAAAGCATGATCCATAAAAGAAAATGTTGGTAAGTTTGACTTCATTAAAGTACATTTCTGCTCCTGCAAAAGACACTGTTAAGACATTAAAAAGTCAATCCATAGACTGGGAAAAAATTTTGCAGACCCATGTCTCATAAAAGACTTGTATATGAAATACATAAAGAATCCTTAAAATTAAACAATAAGAAAACACAGAGTTAAAACATGGGTGAAAGATATGAACAGATGTATCACCAAAGAAGACAGATGCAAATAAGTTCATAAGATGCTCAACATCATATGTCATTGGAAAATTGCAAATAAAAGCAACAATGCAATGCATCTATATAGCTAATAGAATGAGTAAAATACAAAACACTGACAATACCAAATGTTGACAACAGTGTAGAGCAATAGGAACTCTCATTTGCTGCTGATGGGAATTCAAAATGGTACAACCACTTTGGCAGACAGTTTGGCAGAATCTTATAAAACTAAATATAGTCTTCCCACCTGATTCAGCAATACATATTAATAAAAAAACAGTTTGATTATGTATGTAGACACAGGAGTTTCACACAAAAAATAAGACTCAAGGAGCTGCCCAGATGATTGAGGCTTATGTACCATATAAGGCTAAACAAAGCAAAAGGGATTTGGGGATTCTGGGCAGGGGAGGCCAGCTATGGGAAGGTGAGGGGAGGAAATGTATGGTGGACTAGGGTTGTCTCATTATGCAGATAAGAGTCTCTCCAGTTCAGAGTTTTCTGGGAAAGTAGCTCTCTTTCTGGTAGGGAGACATCTTTACAAATGAAAATTTCCTTTGTAAATGTGAATTTCCTTTTCAAAAGAAGACATTTATACTGAATTTTTAGGCAGTTAAGGAGAGATAAAGAGCTTTTCCTTTGTCCTCTGGTTCTCAGTTGCCTTTAGCTCAAAATAATCCATATGCCAAAGAGGCCTATTTTGGGGTGACTTCTTGTATTCTTCACGTCTCATGAAATGAACCTATTATTGTGAAATGAACTAATTGTTTTAAATAAACTGCAGTGGACTTGTTATTGATGAGCCACATTTTAAAAATGGGTTGGTGCCAGTTTGGGAAACTGCTGTTCTCAGCCTGTGCTGCTTCTCTCTGCAGAGACGCCGTGGACCTGTCTTCTGCTGGCACGGCAGGCGTGCTCATTGGCTACTGTCCCCAGCAGGATGCCCTGGACGAGCTTCTGACTGGTTGGGAACATCTCTATTATTACTGTAGCTTACGCGGGATTCCAAGGCAGTGCATCCCTGAGGTAAATCTCCCTGGGGTCTTCTAGATAAAGGGACCCATTGAGGAATGCTTGGTGACCACCTCTGGCTCCAAGGCAGCTCTCTCACCCTATGAGGAGAAGGAACTGTAGTATCAGATAAACTTACCTGCAAGAGATTTTCTAATATGATTATACTGAAGAAAACATTAAATATATTTCCCTTATTTTACATTATATATTTAAAAGGTATCTGTGTGAGGCAGTCATGTGGTCGGAGTTAAAGCATAAATACATCATTTATAACTTTGTATCCCCCTTGCTCTTTTCTTCCTCTCTAAATGCCTTTTACATTTATTGAACTACAAACTTGTATTCAGGAAGAAATATCACAAACTCTGTATTTTCAGGGCTTGTGAAAGTGTGGGCACAAATTATGTGTGGAATCTGGGGGACTGCTGGAAGGAATGACTTCCTGATGAGTGGGCGGACAGATTCCTCCTGCCAGGGGATTCCTTCTGCCAGGGGATTCCTTTCTGGGTGGTCTTAGGGGAATGAAGGAGTGGCAGAAACTGAGACCCCCACCTCCATCACTGCCTGTGACAGGAGAGAGGCAGGTGGAGCAGTGAGAGAGCAAAAGACAGCTGCCACTTCTTCTGTGTGAGTAGAGGTCAGCGAAGCAGAGCGGACAGCCTTGATTGACAGCTCAGGATGTTGTACCGTGAGCCACCAAAATTGCAGTTACTTAAGCACATTTTTACCTTTTCTGCACCTCATTATAGAAAGTCTGGGGTGCGTGCTCCTCAGATTTCTGGATTCTGAACTAGAAGCAGAAATAAGTGGCTTATATTATGCGTTTGCAATTAGATTCTGCGGGAGAGGGAAAATTCTAGGACTCACAGGAGACAAAACTAATAGCCTTCGCCTTCACTGGTCCATGAACGTTCATTCTCTGTTCTGTTTTTATAATGCTTCAGCATTTGTTTCTTATTTATGCTTTCTAACTTTAAGTGAAACTAAACAGAATGTCTGCACCTCATTGTAAGGACTCTGGCCCCTTTTCCCATCTCCCGTCTTAATAAAGCAAAGATAACTGACCACCCCACAGAGACCTGCTGGTTGTAGTTAAACAGTTATTGGCATCCGTGGCTAATTGTTGGATCAATTTTTAATCGGTGTTTATCTCTGTCAGCTCCTCTTTGTTAGTTTTTGATGAAAGAGGCGGGTGCTTGGCAAAGGCTTTAAGCTGGCACTTTTGTTTTTCGAGGGAAACATGCTTATGAAAAAGCTCTCGTTAATGTAGGTCGGTGCTTTCTGTCATTCAGGGCAATTGTGTCTTGATATTCATCTGTCTTACAACTTTGTTTTTCTGAATTGTTCTACCAATAAAAGTTATTTAAATGGTAACCAATTAGGAACTGCCTTCATTTCCTTTATAAAACTGTAACTGATTTTGCAGACAGTATTGCTACTTGCTCTTGTTTCTAAGATGTCTGCACACTTTTGCATCTGTTTCCAAAGGAGTTAGCTCCTTTTCTGGAAACAAATTTTCTTTTCTATATATTTTGGGAATATTTAAGTTATAGAACAGGCATATCCATTTTGAGGTGCTTATCACAAGATGTCCAGAAAGAATTATTATAAAATAATGGAAAATAAAGTTTTATCTTTCAGTATTTATTCCACATCAGGTACTGTTCTAAGTATTTTACAGCAACCATATGAAGTAGATGCTTATTCCCATTTTACAAACTGAGAAATTAGACACAGTTTAATTGAGACACAGAGACACAGGAAAACTGAGACACCAGAGAAATTAGGCCACTTGCCCATGTTCACATGGCTAGTATTTGGCAAGGTTTTACTTTGAAACCATATAAACCAGCTCCAGGGTACAAGTTCTTGACTAAGACATTACTCTGACACTTAGTTTATTCAGGCTGTTAGTTGTATAAGATGGAATTTCTGGTGGTATTAACAGTTCAGTCTTATTTTTATAACCCTGGGATGGCCAAAGAAGTGGAAACTGTGTGGGGTTAGTGCATGACTTCTCTAACATGGGGCTCCTCCTGCTGCCTGGCTTTCCATTGGTCTGGAGTTGGACTCAACATGTGTGCCTCACCTCCAGGCTTTCAGAACTCATAGATATGGGGGTAATCTTTAGACACATCTGCTGCTCACCTTAGTTGTTTTCTTCAGGCTGCCATCTATTTTCATTGTAACATGGAGAGCCACCATTGTAAGCTCTATGATTCTAGTGCAAGACCCTCTGTGCTTGCGGGGAGGCTCCTTTGTTCAGCCTTACAGTCCCCTCTCCTCCCTCCCGGGGACCCTCAGAGCCCATGCCATGGCTGAGCCAGTCCACCTGTGCTCCACTTGCTGGTCATTTCTAAGTATGGTCAAATTGCTCACTTCCTCAACCTTTCAAAAGTTTGATGAGGTAAGAATAAGATGCCACTTCATAAAGCTTGAACTTAGGTTTGACAAGTTAACAATGATTTCCAAATTTCCCATGATTTACACTGCACAAAACTGTGCAGTGTACATATTTGAGCCTCAATTTAATTAACCTTGTAAAGCATGTTATATTAAGTTATATCACTTGGTTATTACCAAATGATGCAAGAGATGAGGGCTACATAGTCTGGGATGCTAGAGAAAATGTGTCAGAGTTCATCATGCTAGGTAGTTTCAATGTTAGTGTCATACCATAACAAACAACCAGTACTTCTAAATGGGAAGAGATTTGGCAAATTCTGTGTTTTAGTTTTCCCTGGTATAGAAGAGGTATGGCCCCTCATCATCTTAGTTTTGTTAATACCTGCACATTCCTACCAGGGACTGTCCCTACTGTGTCTTGCTTCCCCTTATCTTCTGTAAAGACATGACTTTTATATTTAAGTTTTCTTCCATTCACACAGTCAGTTTAGCTAGAAGGAGCTAGAATTTATAAGATAGTAGGAATGGGGACAGGAGGTCATCTTCAGAGGAAGGGCCAGGATAAACATTTCCATCTGAAATCCTTGGTTCCCTTTCCCTACTTTACGACTCATTTTGGTCTTTAATCTCACAGAAATGTTGACCTGGCCATTATGTGTGCTAGTGGAAACACTTTGGCTTTGGAGTCTGATAGATGTATGTGTGAATCTCAGGGCAATTTATTTTGGCTCCAGTGATGTTTATGGAAGTCCTACTATGTGCCAAACATGAATAAACACTGGGGATTTCCATCCCAGTGCATATCCCATTGAGATTCATCCCAAAACCAATGCATCCGCAAACGAAAGCATCCCAAAACAAATGCATCCCAGTAACTTGCCTGAAGTATGGTACAATTTCTAGAGCTTCATGAGAGAAAAATACCAAACCTCAGAGAGAGATTCTGTGAACTTTTGACATTTTGGGATTTTAGGCAGTATTTTGCCAACTGAGATTGCTAAGGCATTGCTTTTGCCATTACTTTGACAGTATTGCTGAGTGCAGAAAAGACTACAGCAAAATACTTCTTATTAGGCTATTTTCAGTTATTTTCTGACAACATGACATTCAGAAAACATTGGATCAAACTAATACATTTGTTCCTGTATACTCTGGAATCTTTCCTATGGTTAACCAATCCAGAATTTGCAGGCTGCAATATTTAACCTTTTGTGAAATTGGGAAAACATGACATATGTTTCCTAACTTCATAAAAATATGCAATAATAATTTGGCAAGTTTATTCAAAATGTAACTTGCATTCTCAGGTGCATTTCTCCAGAACCAGGTACATATATTATTATTTTTATTTCATTTGTCAGTTTATCAGTTTTCTTTTATGTATGGCTAATCTTTGAATAACATGGATGAGAGTAACTAAACATTTCTTTCTAATACATGCACACATACACACATTTTCATTCTCTTTTTCTTGTAATATTTATAGATCTAAAAATAACCAAAACAATCATTATCACAATTTGTCATTTTTGCCAGCCTCACCACTGTTAGTACAGCAGGTCCCCAAATAACATTGTTTAGTTCAACATTGTTTCATTACAATGATGAGAAAAGTAAAATTGATTTTCTGCCAGGACCACTGTCGGAGAGGAGTTTGCACGCTCTCTCCATGGCTGCATACATTTTCTCCAGGTACACTTGTTTTCTGTCATGTCCCAAAGCTGTGTACATTAGTTTCTTTGGTGTGTCTATATTGAGCCCATGTGGGTGAGTATATGTGGGCGTGTGAGTGTACCCTCGATGGAATGGCATGCTGTCCAGGGCTGGTTCCTGCCTTGTGCACTGAGCTTCCAGGATGGGCTCTGACCACCCTCAACCCTGAACTGGAATAATTGGGTAAATCATGTTTTTGTTAATCTTTCACAAATATATGTGTAGCTCACATTTATTTCAGTGTTTGCTATTAGAAGTTTTTTTTTATTTAGAAGTTTGGAGATGTTTTTGTGACCAGACATATGACATAGGAACTTTTATTTCTACCAATCAGCTTATGGTAAAATTGGTTTCATTAAATGTTGATTCGGTTAAAGCGGTCTCCAAGAACATATAGATGACATTAAGTAAGGACTTTTTTCCGACAGATAAAGCTTTCTAACAGGGTCTATCATGCTCTTAGTTTTCTTCTCTTTTATGGGGACATCTGCCTCCTTTTCCAGGAAGCCTCCCTGGTTTCCTTCCTTCATCTCTCATATGAGTGTTTATCTAGCACTGATTTACACTTCTTGGCCATTCTTCTGTGAGAAAAATTTGGACGAAGCTACATGACTACTTCTGCTATCTCTTTAATTCCTGAAATGCCAGGCATTTATATTTCTTCATTTATAAGACCCTTCCTTTAATATTTGTGTTTGTTTGCTTGTGATGAATAAAACGTTTTGTTTTGATATTTTAAAATTCACTTAAGTGAATTTTTATTCAACTTGTGATAATTAAAATAGTTGTTCTGAATGGAGCCAGGAAAAAGGATGATTCATATAAAACATTCTGGGGAAAATGACTTTACTTTCAATAAGACCAACTACTGGCCTTGAGAAGATTTTCTTAGGCAGATAGCAGGAGATTAAATATTTCATCTTTATATATCTTTTAGGCCTTGAAATCTGCATTTCCTAGAATTATACTATTTTACCATAAGACCAGTCCTTGAGCCTCTTCATTCATTTGCAACATATTTTGAAGTTGCACAAGTAAAGCCATATAATAATTTCTGTTGAAAGATTTTACTGGGGGGCATAATGATTATCCTAATATTTGTAGAGGTTCTTAATGCTTCATTATCATTATTGTTATTATCCTAACTTTTATGTACTTGTCAAAAAGAGTATACACATTAGTTTATATTTATTCAGTTATTTGGGATGCACAATTATTAACCAATCTTTTTAGTCCTATAGAATTTTTCCCTCTTCTCCTAAATTTGAATTAAAATATGATCTTGGTCAATTTGGCTATATGATTATATCTAAAAAATGAATCTATATTAATACTTCTATGGTCATAAGAGTTAAATAAAATTGTTTGGAAAATTTTTAAATTATGCTAAGTTGGAAACAAAAAAATTGCTTACCTTGGACCCCAGGAAGAATTAATCCAGCATAGGAGATAGAACTGGAAACAGAAAATATAGTGTGGTACAAATTACAGTGGGAAATGCTAAATAAAAGTGTTCTATAGACACATATAATACACAGAAGAGGTGACACATATATCACACAGAAGAAGTGACAATTATTTTTTCTGATGAGAGATATGGGCTGGGCCTTCTAGGATGTGGGACAAGCTGGCAGGGTGGAAGGCAGGGAAGAAGAAAGAAGCTGTGAACCGCAGGCTCTTGGGTACAGTCTGAACTCTCCTGTGGCTGGAGGGGTGAGGTTTGACAAATGCTGCCACCATCCTTGGGTCTTGGCAAAGTGGTTTTCAGCAGTTGCAAATAAGAAATATTTCCCATTCTCCTCCCCATCTCTAGTTACTTTATAAACCAAACTCTGAGTTTGCAAACATTAACAGTGGCTTCTCAATGTCAAAGGGATATTTCTTTCCTTGTGTTAATATTGAAAATTCCCTCCAGCCATAAAAATGAACAAAATCACATCCTTTGCAGCAGCATGGATGCAGCTGGAGGCATCATCCTAAGCAAATTAACACAGGAACACAAAACCAAATACCGTGTGTTCTCGTTTATAGGGGGGAGCTTAACATTGGGTACACATGGGCACAAACATGGCAGCAGTAGACACGTGGGAATCCAAAAGTGCGGAGGGAGGGCGTGTGACAAGGGGTGAAGAACTACCTGTTGGGTTCCATGCTCACTACTTGGGTGGGATCATTAGAAGCCCAAACCTCAGTGTCACACAATATACCCATGTAGCAAACCTGCACATAGACTCCCTGAATCTAAAATAATAAAGAAAATTTTCTGCTTCGGTTGTCTTCTCCCTTTAAGTTTTGACACCGCTATTAGTTTCATTCCCATTTGTTTCCTTCTCAGTTTTCTTTTTGGCATACCCTTCTCTGCTCACCTCAACATGCTTATTTATCTGGACCCCCAACCTTGAGTGTGTTTCTTGCCCACCCTTCTCCCTGAACTCTAGATGTGATTATTCTGACCATCACTTAGATGTCTCCAGCTGCAGAAAACTCCCACCTGTTCACTCTCAATTACTGCCTGTATGGTAAAGGGGGATGTTTCAGGAGATGTACTTGATTGTATGTGTGAAGGTCGGCAGGGTTAGTGGGAGGTAGAAGCAGGAATGAGGACTGAGACCAGCTGTCTGGTGGGCACTTTGGTGAATGCTGGTGTGCACATGGACATGCCTCTCTTCCAGGTTGCTGGAGACCTCATCAGGCGCTTACACCTCGAAGCCCACGCGGACAAACCTGTGGCCACCTACAGTGGGGGAACCAAGCGGAAACTCTCTACAGCCCTGGCCCTGGTGGGGAAACCTGACATTCTTTTATTGGTGAGTAGAAGAATGTCAATATCTTGGAGTAAGATACATATTGCATATTGATTTATAAACTGATTTTAAGGGTTTTTCTGGGAAGTAACTTCAGAACTTGCAAAGCTGGTTCTACAAACTAGTAAACTGTTTTGCCATAAGCCAGCATTTCCCAAATGTCATTTGTATTTTACAGAAATAAAACATTTATTTTTTGCTAGATTCACTTATATTTGTCAAGCTGAAAATTCTATAAAATTTTAACATTAAAACAGTGTTTTAAAAGATTATTAGAATTCATCTGTAATCTGAAAACCAATTATGTTTTCCTCTAGAATATTGCTTTTATGTCTTTTTCTGTGTGTAGATGTATGTTTATCACAGCAGTAGTGACACCTGTCATGGTGAATCTTAAAGATGGGTGTTGAGAGTGAAGGATGGATATGATGTTGAGAGTAGGGAAGAAAACTCCAGCAAGAGGGTAGAGTATATGCAATGGTCTTGAGACAGGGTGGTCTATAATCAATCTGGGAACTGCAGTTAATTTGATTTGAATGAATCAAAGCATTAATTGGAGGCAACAATTGTCAAGAAATGGAGTTAATTATCTTGCATTTCATAAAACAGCTATAACTGTTAATACAAGTAATGCCATTGAAAGAATAAATAAAGGCTATTGTTACATGCCATAAATTGGATTCTAATCAGTAGAGTGCATCTTTGGACTTCACACCAGTAGAGAGTCTGAGGGGTGTCAAAAAGTGTGGAAAACAAAACAGATTCCTTTTTTTCTATCTTTCTTCATCAAATGAATACACCCTTTTAGTGGGGTAGTAAATGGGGATTGAGAAGGTCTGTGTGGGAAAATGGTCTCATCGTTTGCTGGTTGTCTCCTGGAAACTCACCTGAATATTCTTTTTAGGTACCATAAATTTGCTTTTGCAATGTCCAAATTCCTAGACTATTGTATAGTTTCATATTCCAGAATCTGATAATAAAAACTACCATTTGCACAATCCTGAAGTTTACAAATTACATTTTATTTTCAACATGAGGCAGGATTATGTTGAGTAGTTAACAAGACGTGGGCATTCATTACTTTCTGTGGAATTTCCCTTTGCCCAGCCTCTTACAATGCATCTCCTTAGTTGAATGAAGGGGCCTCTGCTCTGTAGCCATGACCTGCTCACTGCAGACCCTGACATGCTTTTCTTTGATACATCCTTGCTCTCAGCTTTCCTTGGATGCCCAAACCTGTGACAGAGTGGTCAAGGTGGGGACTCTGGAGTCTGACTGACAAGCTTTGAATTTTGCTTCTGCAGCTGCCCAACACTTGGCCTTGTATGTTCTATGCCTGTTTCCTTCTCATCTGAAAATTTTCCTGATAATAGTGTCTGTCTCATGGAGTCATTGAAAGCAGTAAATAAAATAAACTACATTAAGCATATAGCCCAGTGTCTAGCAGATGGTAAACCACAGTAAATATTCGTGACTATGATGATGGTTACTGTTCAGAGCAATAGGTTAAAGAGATTTGTTGCCAGGCCTTTGGAGTTCTCAACAGAGAGACTAGAAGTGATTCTCAGAGCTGACATCAAGGAGGGAATCAGGAAAACGTAAATTACACATACAACTCTCATAATGAGCATTGCATGATCACACCTTTTATTTACTTATTTTTATAACTAATACACATATATTGCTTGATTTGCAGAAAAGACTAGATATTTATTTTCCTGTTCAGTGCTTCTCCCCCTACACTTACTGCTTCCCATCTGTTTCTTTCTTTATGGAAGTTTATGAACCTAAGCTCTTAAGAAATATGTGTTTAGTACTCCCTGGCTAATAAAAGCACAGAAATACATCTTACAGTTTGGCGAGATTTCTCTAGAAGTGGTTCATATAAGGAATACTTTGGTGTCTATTGAAGGAGAAAGCTTCAAGTTCTAAGAAATATTAATTTATTTGATGTTGCTAAATAAATGAAGCCTTTTTCTGCTATCATATGTCTTCCTAGGGGATATCATTCCGAAATTTTATGGAGGTTGAAAATTCATTTTAGAAACATCAGGGTTGGCTTACCTAGCCAGATCATGGAGGAGAACCAACCTGACATGAAAATATAGCCCAATTCCCCTCCTCTCAGTTTTATGGAAGTATAATTAACTGATAAAAATGGTATCTATTTAATGAATTCAACATGTGTTTTGATATACATAAATATTCTGATGTGTTGACTACAATCAAACTAATAAACATATTGATGACATCACATAATTGCCATTTTTTCCCCTGTATGTGATGAGAACACTTAATATCTACCCTCTTAGCAAATTTCAAATATGTAATACAGCATCGTTATCTACAGTCCCTCTCTTAGTTCACTGTGCTGCTATAACAGACTGGATAATTTATAAAGAACAGAGAACAGAAATTCAGGTTTTGGAGTCTGGGAAGTCCAAGATCAAGGCACTGCCAGGTCCAGGTGTCTGCTGAGGGTGCCAACCCTGCTTCCTGAAACCTGTGCCCTCCAGAGGGGAGGAATAGGTGTCATCACAAGGCAAAAGTCAGAAGGGCAAAAAGAGGTGAATGTCCTTCATCAGGTCCTTTTATAAGGTCACTTAATCTTATAAACTCATTCACCTCCCAAAGGTCACACCTCTCAATACTGTTTCATTAGGGATTGAGTTTTAACATGAATTCTGTAGGGGACAAAACATCCAAACTATAGCAGCCCTATATCCTGTATATTAGGTCTCCAGAACTTGTTTGTCCTGTATAACTGAAATTTTCTGCCCTTTGACAAGTATCTCCCCATTTCCACAGCCTGGCACCTTTCTACTCTCTCTTCCTATGTGTTCAACTTTTTAATATTTCACTAAGAAGTAGTGTTTTTCCATGCATGGCTTATTTCACTTTATGCTTGGCATAAAGTCCTCCAGATTCACTTATGTTGTTGAAAATGGAAGGATTTCCTTATTTTTCAGGCAGAATAATATTTCATTACACACACACACACACACACAGTGAGAGAGAGGAGAGAGAGAGAGACAAGGAAACAGGGAGAGAGAGAGAAAGAGAGAGAGAGAGACATACACATTTTCTTTTCCCATTTATACACTTAGGGATGCTTAGGTTGTTTCTATATCTTGGCTTCTGTAAATAATGTTGTCATGAATATAGCACTGCAAATATCCCTTCCAGATATTGATTTTATTTCCTTTGGATACACACACAGAAGTGAGATTACTGGATCAGTGGCAGTAGTATTTTTAATTTGTAGAGGAACCTCCACACTGTTTTCCATAATATGTGTACATTTACATTTCCACCAATTGTGTATAAGGGTTCACTTTTCTCCGAATCCTTGCCATTGCTGGTTATCTTCTGTCCTTTTAACAATAGCCATTCTAACAAGTATAAGATGATATCTCATTGTGGTTTTCATTTGCATTTCCCTGATTATTAATAATGTCGAACATCTTTTCATATACCTATTGGCCATTTGCATGTCTTCTTTTGAGAAAAGTCTGTTCAAGTTTTTTGTCTATTTTTAATTATTATTATTTGCTATTTAGTTTTACGACTTTCATATATAGGATGTAACCCCTTATTGGATATATGGTTGCAAATATTTTATCCCCCGCTGTAGTTTGTCTGCTTTGTTGATATTTTCCTTTCTTGTGCAGAAACTCTTTTCGTTTGAAATAGTCCCACTTTATGTTTGCTTCTATTTTATGTGCTTTTGGTGTCATATCCAAAAAAGAAACAAGCAAAACATTGCCAAGACCAATGTCAAGGAGCTCTTCTTTTTTTTTTTCTACAAGTTTCATGGTTTCTCATCTTATGTTTAAATCTTTAATACATGTTCAGTTGATTTTTGTGTATGGTGTAAGATAAGGACCGAGTTTTAATTTTTTGTATGTAGATATTCAGTTTTCCCAAAGCCATATATTGAAGAGACTGTCCTTTTCCCAGTTTTAATTTCAGTGTATTTGTCAAAGATTAATTGACTATATGTGTGTGGGTTTATTTCTGTACTGTCTATTCTTTTCTATGAATCTATACATCTGTTTTTATACAAGTACCATACTTTTTAAATTATAATAGCATAGTAGTATATTTTGAAAATAGGAAATGTGAGGCCTCCAGCACCATTCTTCTTGCTTACTTTCTTTAGCTATTTGTGGTCTTTTGGGTTTTTTAAATATAAATTTCAGTATTTTGGTTTTCTATTTCAGTGAAAAAATGACAATGGAATTGTAGGAATAGCACTGAGTCTGTAGATCGCTTTGGGTAATATGGACATTTAAAAATATTAATTCTTTCAATCCATGTACATGGATAGCTCTCCATTTATTTGTCTTCAATTTCTTTAATCAAAATGTTATAGTTTTCAGTATACAGATCTTTCACTTCCTTTGTTAAAATTATGCCTAAGTATTTTATTCATTTTGATCTTATTGTAAATGAAATTGTCTAAAATTTCCTTTTCTGATAACCCATTGTTATTTTATGGAAGCACTATTGATATTTGTATGTTGATTTTGTATCATATGACTTTATTGCATTTGTTTATTAATTCTAATGGATTCTTTGGTGGAGTCTATAGTGTTTTCTGTATGTTAGATCATGCTTTTGAAAAGATGATTTTACTTCTTTTTTGATTTGGATGCCTTTTCTTTGTCTTGACTAATTGCTCTGGTTAGGACTTCTAGTATTATGTTGAATAGAAGTGGCTAGAGTGGGCATCCTTGTCTTGTTCTTCTTAGATTTGAAGTTTTTAGCTTTTCACTGTTGAATATGATGTTAGTTGTGGGCTTATGATATATGGCCTTTTATTCTTTTCTATTTCTGCTAACTTTGGGATTAGTTCATTTCTTTATCCAGTTTCTTCAATTGCAAAGGTAAGATATTTATTTGAAATCTTTCTTTTTTTCTTAATGTTGATGACTTCTTCCTCAAATCTGCTTTTACTTCATCCCATAAGTTTTGTTTTGTTTCCATTTTCATTTGTCTCAAGATACATGTATTTTTTAAAATTTTCTTTTTAATTTCATTTTTGACCCATTGGTTGTTCAGGAACATATTGTTAATTTACACATATTTGTGAATTTTACAGTTTTCCTCCTTATTAATTTCTAGTATCATACCATGGTGGTCTGAAATGATACTGGATATGATTTCAATTTTTTTAAAATTGTTTAGACTTGTTTTGTGGCCTAATATATGGTCTCTCCTGGAGAGTATTTTATGTGTTCTGGAGAAGAATGTGTATTCTGCTATTGTTGGATGGAATGTTCTGTGTATGGCTGTTAGGTCCATTTGGTCTAAAGGGTAGTTCAAGTACATTGTTTCCTTATTGATTTTCTGACTGGTTATTCAATGTATCATTGAAAGTGGAGCCTTGAACTCCCCTATTATTATTGTACTTATGTCTTTTACTCCTTTCAGTTTTGTTAATATTTGCATTACATATATAGTACTCTAATGTTTAGTGCATATCTATTTACAATTACTCTTTTATCATTTTATATAAATTGACCATTTTATCATTGTATTTTTCTCTTTTTACAGTTTTTGACTTAAAGCATATTTTGTGTGACATAAATATAGATAAACATGCCCTCTGGGTCATCATTTGCTTGGAGTATCTTTACCTATTGTTTCACACTCAGTCTATGTGTATCCAAAAAAACTGTACTAAGTCTCTTGCAAACAGCATAAGATTGGATCTTGGTTTTTATCCATTCATTCACTTTATGCCTTTTGATTGGCAAATGCTGTCTATTTACATTTAATGTAATTATTAATAGGTAGGATCATATTCTTGACATTTTGTTAATTGTTTTCTGGCTATTTTTAAAGTTATTTATTCTTTTTTTTCCTCTATTACTGCTTTTCTTTTAATTTGATAATTTTTTTTTGTGTTGGTATGTTGGTATGCTTTGATTCATTTCTGTTTTTTTTTCTTTTGTGTGTGTGTGTGTGTGTATGTGTGTGTGTGTGCATCTTCTATAGGTTTTTTATTTGTGGTTACCAAGAATCTATATAAAACATCTTATAGTTACAAAAGTCTATTTTTAACCTGATAGTAACTGAACTTATATCACATTAAAAAAAAACTACACTTTTGCTTCCAACCATCTCATTTTATGTTTTAGATGTCACAATTTGCAGCTCTTTATATTGTATTTCCATTAAAAAATTATTATAGCTATAGTTATTTTTAATACTTTGTGTTTTAATCTGAATATTACCATTATAAGTGATTTATACACCAACATTAAAGCATTAAAGTATGCTGAATGTGGCTGTATACTTAACTTTACTGTGAGTTTTATAATTTCATGTTGCTAATTAGAATCCTTTTATTTTGTTTTGAAGAACCCCTTTAGCATTTTTTTTTTATAAGACAGGTATTGTGTCAATGAACTCTTTCAGCTTTTGTTTGGGAGCATTTTTTTTTTTATAAGACAGGTATTGTGTCAATGAACTCTTTCAGCTTTTGTTTGGGAAATTCTTTATCTCTTTTTTATCTCTGAAGGGCAGCTTTGCTGGGTAAAGTAGGTAAAGTATTTTTATTTGGCAGGTTTTTTTTCTTTCATAGGCCCACTCTTTCCCAGTCCTGAAGATTTCTTCTGAAAAATCCACTGATAGCCTTGTGGATGTATGTCATGAGCCTTTTTTTTCCTCTTGTTGCTGTGAAAATTCTGTTTTTCATTTTTGACAGTTTGATTATTGCGTATCTCAGTGAATAATTTGTTGGGTTGAAGCTATTTGGGAACTTTTAAGCTTCATATATCTTGATGTTCAAATGTCTATCTCTTTATCCAAATTTGGGAATGTTTCAGCCATTATTTATTTAATAAGCATTCTGCTGCCCCTTTTTCTCACCTTTTTTATTTTGTAAATCTCATATTGTAAAAGTTAGGTCTCTGGATAATGTGCCATAAACCCTGTCAGGCTTTCTTTGTTCTTCTTAATTCTTTTTTACTTTTTTAAAATTTTCCTTGACTGGATAATTTCAAATAATCTGCCCTCAAGTTCACAGATTTTTTTTATCTGCTTGATCAAATGTGCTTTTCTCTATTATATTTTTTATTTCATTTTATTTTTCTGCGCCAGTATTTCTATTTGGTTCTTTTTTTTTATAATTTTGATCTGTTTTTTGAATTTCTCTGGATGAGGTGAGAAAGAAGTGGGGCTCCTGGGTAGCATGCTGCATGGCTGGAGGAGTCAGGCCCTCACTCATTGCTCTCTCACATTCCCCTATCATTCTGGCTTTGTTGAGCAGAGTGCAACAAAGCCAATTGGAGAGGTGTCTTTTAGAGCCAGAGCAGAGATTTTTCTTTCACCTGGGGTCTGGCCTCCCATGTCATTGTGTATATTTCTATTTGTGTTTTTCAAATGCTGATTACTCTGTGTTGCCTTTCCTTCAGGATGAGCCCAGCTCTGGGATGGATCCCTGCTCTAAGCGGTACCTGTGGCAAACAATAATGAAGGAGGTTCGGGAAGGCTGTGCTGCGGTGCTGACCTCCCACAGGTGAGTTCCAGTTTCTCTTGTAGCCATTTCCTGATAAGACTGAGTAACAAAGGTTAAGAAGTGCATTTAGGTACCTGCACAGTGTTACACATGGACATTTCTTAATCTTTACAACACAATAATGGTGATATTATTGTTAGCCCTCATTGTATAAATTGAGACTGAAGCCATGAGGGATTACGTTATATAACCAAGTTTACATAGCAAATAGGTGGCAGAGCTAGAATTTGAACCTAGTGTTCTGTGTCCAAAGATGATATTCTTGCCTCATCCATTGCTACTGTTCAAGGATGAGTGCTAGACTACCATTTTCAGGTCTTCCTGAGGGATCTTTCAGATCCTTTCCATCCAAGGCCTATTATTTCAGCAGGTAGAATTAGCTGAACTAAAATACTTAACAGGTTACTGAATCTGGTTTAACATTTTCTTTATCACAGAATTAAGTTTGTAATTAGATTTCAAAACCATTGGCTTCTTTTTAACTTTCTAATACACTGTTCTAGCCCACAAAGAATTACAAATATAGATTTCATAAAACCTACTTATGGGGAGTGAGCAATATGATTTAACTAATACAAATTCTAATGATGTAATAAAGACCAGGCTTTAATGTTTAGACTTGTTTTGTCTTTATGTTTAAGTAAAATATACTGTGAATAAGATGTCAAGAGCTGCCAAAGATCTCACATTTTGCCCTTTTGCAAGCTAACAAATTTAGCTTGATACAGTTTTATGGATGTTGACAGAAGAAATGAGACTTCTGGGTCGGAGATGAAAGACTTTATTGCTCACAGCAAGAACAGTAGCCAGAGTGTCAGCATGGTTTCTCATTGGTTCCCTAAACCCCAGTTTCTATTGGACTAATGGATGCCTGCACACAGAGGAGAGGAATGCCAAATCTGGTGAAATTACTACCTTATAACATCTGATAAGGAAGCCAGCCCTTCGTTTGGGAGGAGGTGTCGCTTCTTCCATGGTTGTTTGCTACTAGCATAACTTTGAGAAATGGCCCAGTTAAAGAGCAGTTAGGGCCTTATATTCTTGGAATTCATGGCAAGACACGTAGGAACACAAGGGACCCATGGAAACATGCTTCCCAACAGTCTAAATCATTCAGTCTATGCTTGAGTACCCCAGCTCTTGTTACCAGGAGTGAAATATAAAGCTAGCCCTATCATTTGAAACGTGAGATTTCTGAGAGGACCTCAGGAGACTTTACTGATTACTGCAGCATTATTAGTTTACGTAAAAATACTATTAAATGCTATAACTCAGCATGCATAATCCTATTACACATAAATCTTACAGCCATTTCCTGTAACAAGTGTTACTGGCTGCAAAGCCAATGTATTGTGAAGAACTCAGCCATTCACACATTTCTCACATTGCTTCATGTCAAAGTAGACTTTTCTTAATTTTCTATCTCTGGGCTCTTTCTTTTTTAAAAAAATTCATTCACTGATAGGTTTGTCTATACTGCTTAACATTCCCCAATTTTCACTGCCAGACTAAACTTTACACTGTTGTTTTTTTAAATGCCATTTTCTGAAGTATAATTTACATTTGATATAACTTAACCACTGTAAGTATGGAATTCTATGATTCTTTAGTAAATTTATAGACTTGTGCAAATATTACCATAAATAAGCCTTAGAATATTTGGGTCACCTCCCCCAAATTTTCTCATGCTTACTTTCAGTTAAATTAGCATTTGAGGCTAGGTGCCGTGGCTCATGCCTGTAATCCCAGCACGTTGGGAGGCCAAGGCGGGCGGATCACGAGGTCAGGAGATCAAGACCATGGAGAAACCACATCTCTACTAAAAATACAAAAAATTAGCCAGGCGTGGTGGCGGGCGCCTGTAGTCCCAGCTACTCAAGAGGCTGAGGCAGGAGAATGTCATGAGACCGGGAGGTGGAGCTTGCAGTGAGCCAAGATCGGGCCACTGCACTCCAGCCTGGGCGTCAGAGCAAGACTCCGTCTCAAAAACAACAACCACAACAAAAAAATTAGCATTCAAAACCTCCACCTAGGAAAACATTGATGGCTTTCTGCCTCTGTAAATTTGCTTTATATGGATATTTCATTAACTGAATCATATAATCAGTAGTCTGCTGCATCTCTTTTTTTTATTTATCATAACACTTTTTTTTTTTGAGACAGAGTCTTGCTCAGTCACCCAGGCTGGAGTGCAGTGGCACGATCTTGGCTCACTGCAAGCTCCGCCTCCTGGGTTCACGCCATTCTCCTGCCTCAGCCTCCCGGGTAGCTGGGACTACAGGCACCTGCCACCAAGCCTGGCTAATTTTTTGTATTTTAGTAGAGACGGGGTTTCACCGTGTTAGCCAGGATGGTCTCGATCTCCTGACCTTGTGATCCGCCCGCCTGGGCCTCCCAAAGTGCTGGGATTACAGGCGTGAGCCACCATGCCCGGCCTATGGCAACACTTTTAAAGGCTATCCATTGCGTTTTATGTCAATAGGTTGCTCCTTTTCATTCCAAACGGTATCCCATTTTATAGCTATACCACTTTTATTTATCCATTCACCAGTTGATAAGCATTTGGGTTGTTTCCAGTGTTTTGCTATTATGAATAATATGTTATGAACAGTCATATAAATGTCTTTGTATGTATAGACATGTTTTAATTTTTTTAGATTTTTCTGAGTCAAGTTGCTAGATTGAATAGTAAGTTGTATTTGAGACTTTAAGAAACTGCAGAGTTATTTCCCAAATTGGCCTTATCAGTATATGTTCCCAGCAACAATGATGAGTCTCCTTTATTCCACATCCTTGTCACTACTGTCTGTCTTTTTTCATTATAGGCATCCTAGTGAAGTGGGGTTTTAATTCACATTTTCCTAAGGACTAACGCTGTTAGAATCTTTTCATGTGCCTATTGGTTATTTGTATTACTTCTTTAGTGAAATTTTTATTCCAATATCTCCTCCATCCTCCATTTTTTAAAAATGGCTTGATACTTTAGAATAGTTTTAGGTTCACTGAAAAATTGAGAGGAAGGTACAGAAATTTTTTAAATCCCTCCTTGCCTTCACACATGCATATCCTTCCCTATTATCAGCATACATTACCAGAGTGATACATTTATTAAAATTGATGAGCCTACATTGACAGCACATTACCACCCCAATCCAATTTACATAGGGTTCTCTCTTGATGTTGGACATTTTATGGGTTTGGACAAATATCTAATAAGAATCCACCATTATAGTATCAGATAGAATTGTTTCTCTGCCCTAAAAATTTTCTGTGTTCCACCTATTCATCTCTCCCTCCTGCCTAACCCCTGGTAACCACTCATCTTTTTACTGTCTCCATAGTTTTACCTTTTCCACAATGCCATATAGTTGGAATCATATAGTATGTAGTCTTTTCAGGTTGACTTTTTTCATTTAGTTTCTCCCATGTCTTCTCATGGCTTGATAGCTCATTTCATTTCAGTCCTGAGTCATATTCCACTATCTGGATGTACTACAGCTTATTTATCCACTCATCCGCTGAACCACATCTTGGTTGCTTCCAAGTTTTGACAATTTTGAATAAAGCTGCTTAAGGATCCGTGTGCAGTTTTTTGTGTGAACATATTTTCAACTCCTTTGGGTAAATACCAAGGAATGTGATTGCTGGATCGGATGGTAAGAGTATGTTAATTTTTGTAAGGATCCTTTATATTTGAATTGTTTTTTATCTATTATTTTTGAATTGTAATAGTTCTTTTTATGTAGCAGATATTCCTATATTCTGAATAGAAGTCCCTTGCTGGATAAATGATTTGCAAATATGTATTTCCAGTCTATGGCTGTCTTTCCATTTTATTAATAATGTCTTTCGAAGTGCAAACATTTTAAATTTTGATTACATTCAGTTTATCAATTTATTTTTATATGGTTTGTGCTTTTGGTGTCTCATCTAAGAACTATTTGTTCAAATGAAGTCCTAAAGATTTTCTTCTATCTTTTTTTTCTAAAAATTTTAGAATTTTGGCTCTTATATTTAAGTCTTTGATCTATTTCAAGCTAAGTTTTGTGTATAGTATGAGAAAAGGATATAAATTCACTTTTATGCATGTTAATATCCAATTATTTCAGCACTCTTCCTTGAAAAGATTATCTTTTATCCCACTGAATTGTCATAGCACCTTTATTATATTATTTATTGTATGATTTATTTTTGGACTCTCAATTATTATCCATTGATATGTATGCTTATTTTCTCACCCAATAATATCATGTTGATTATGGTTGTTTTCTATTAAGTTTTGAAAACAGTAAGTGTTATTCCTTCAGCTTTTTCCTTCTATTATAAAATTTTTCATTATCTTGAAATATTTTTCAATTTCTCTTGTGATTACTTCTTTGACCCTTAGTTTATTTAGAAGTGTCATTCAATTTTCAGATACTGGGAGATTTTTAAGAGATTTTTTTTTCTGTTATTCATCTCTGATTTAATTTGGTTGTCATTAGATAAAATAAGTTGTATGATTTCCATCATTTTAAATTTGTTATGACTTTTTAATGGCCTACCAGAGGGGTTACAGTTTTTTTTTTATAAAACACCATATTTTAATTGTTTTTTATCTATTATTTTTGAATTGTAATAGTTCTTTTTATGTAGCAGATATTCCTATATTCTGAATAGAAGTCCCTTGCTGGATAAATGATTTGCAAATATGTATTTCCAGTCTATGGCTGTCTTTCCATTTTATTAATAATGTCTTTGGAAGTGCAAATATTTTAAATTTTGATTACATTCAGTTTATCAATTTAGAACTAGAAATACCATTTGACCAAGCAATCCCATTACTGAGTATTTGGTTTTGCAAGTCGTATGGTGTGTACTGCAGTATCCAACTCCACTGTGTAGTGTGAAAGCTTCCACCAGTATTAGGTAAATGCATAATTGTGGTTGTATTCCAATAAAATTTTATTTGTTCCTCTCCCCCATCCCCCACAAAATGGTGGCAGGCTGGATTTAGCCAATGGGCTGCAGTTTTTTACTCCAGGCTTAACATATGGTCTATCCTAGAGAATTGTCTATGCAAAGGAATATGTATTCTGTAGTAGTTGGATGGAATATTGTATATACAGCAAGTCAGCAAGTTAGCTTGACAGTGTTGTTTAAGTATTCTGTATTCTTGGGAATTTTTTCCTGGGTATTCTATCAATTACTGAAAATAAGATATTGAAATATTCAAGTATAATTGTTACATTTTTCTTTTCCTTCTTTAGATTCTGTCAGTTTTTGCTTCATATATTTGGAGTCTGTGTAGTTAGGTGAATATGCATTCTTAATTGCTATCATACTAATATTTTGACTTTCTTATCATTATGAAATGTCTCTGTTTTACTCTAGCAGTATGTTTTATCTTAAATCCTATTTTGTTTCTTAAAATAGCCATTGCCTCTGTCTTTTGGATAATGTTTGTGTGGTATATCTTTTCATATTCTTTTACTTTCAAATAATTTGTGTCTTTGAATAGGAGTGTTTCCTATAGATTGTGTATAGTTGGATATTGTTTTTTTTTTTCCCAATCTGACAATGTCTGCCTTTTGTGGGAGGTATTTAAACTGTCCCACATTTAATGTAATTATTGATATGGCTGAAGTAACATTGACTGTTTTGCTATTTTTTACATAATGTCTCCTGTGTTTCTTGTATCTGTTTCTACTTGGCAGCCTTATATATTAAATGAATAATTTGAAGTATACTGTATTTAATGTTTTATCTATTTTTTTTAGTTATGTTCTTACTGGCTAGTCTAAGGATGATAGTATACGTCTTGATGCTAACTTAATTCTAGAAAAGTGTTGTAATCTTGCCCTAATATGGCTCTATTTCCTCCCTTTTTCTTTGTGCTATTATTACCATATATATTGCATTTTATATGCTATAAATCCAATAAGGCATATTTTAAGTTTCACTTTATACACTTTTAAATCTTTTAAAGAAGATAAGAAAATATATCAAAAAGACATATCCACAGTCTTAAATAGTAATCCATACAATTGTCATTTCTGACGCATATCTGTCCATATGAAAAATGTGAGAAAATTTTGGCCATTATTTACTCAAATACTTTTTCTGGTCCTATCTATCTTTCCTTTTCTTTTGGTCTTCCATTACGTGTATGTTGAAACTCTGATCTTATCGCACAAGTCTGAGTTCTTGCTCATTTTTTTTAGTCTTGTTTTTTTCTATTTTTGGATTGGATAATCTTTATTGATCTATGTGTTCACTGACTCCTCTGCCATTTTGAATCTGGTGTTGACCCCTCTAGTGAATTTTTCCTTAATTTCTTGTAATCTTTAACTGATTTATTTTTTTTATAATTTTTATCCCCTTCTTCAGAATCCCCACTTACTAATGTGGTTGTCAGACTTTTCTTTAATTCTTTTTATTTTTTATTATTATACTTAAAGTTATGGGGTATGTGTGCAGAACGTGCAGGTTTGTTACATAGGTATACATGTGCCATGGTGGTTTGCAGCACCCATCAACCTGTCATCTACATTAGGTATTTCTCCTAATGCTATCCGTCACCCAGCCTCCCACCCCCGCAACAGGCCCCGGTGTGTGATGCTCTCTGTGTCCATGTGTCCTCATTGTTCAACTCCCACTTATGAGTGAGAACATGTGGTGTTTGGTTTTCTGATTTGTGTTACTTTGCTGAGAATGATGATTTCCAGCTTCATCCATGTCCCTGCAAGGGACATGAACTAATTCTTTTTTATGGCTGCATAATATTCCATGATGTATATGTACCACATTTTCTTTATCCAGTCTATCATTGATGGGCATTTGGGTTGGTTCCAAGTCTTTGCTTTTGTGAACAGTTCCTCAGTAAACATATGTGTGCATGTGTCATCATAGTAGAATAATCTGTAATCCTTTGGGTATATACCCAGTAATGGGATTGCTGGGTCAAATGGTATTTCTAGTTCTAGATCCTTGAGGAATTGCCACACTGTCTTCCACAATTGGTGAACTAATTTACACTCCCACCCACAGTGCAAAAGTGTTCCTATTTCTCCACATCCTCTCCAGCATCTGTTGTTTTCTGACTTTTTAATGATCACCATTCTAACTGGCCTGAGATGGTATCTCATTGTGGATTTGATTTGCATTTCTCTAATGACCAGTGATGATGAGCTTTTTTTCATATGTTTGTTGGCTGCATAAATGTTTTCTTTTGAGAAGTGTCTGTTCATATCCTTTGCCCACTTTTTGATGGGGTTGTTTCTTTTTTTCTTGTAAATTTGTTTAAGTTCTTTGTAGATTCTGGATATTAGCCCTTTGTCAGATAGAAAGATTGCAAAAATTTTCTCCCATTCTGTAGGTTGCCTGTTCACTCTGATGGTAGTTTCGTTTGCTGTGCAGAAGCTCTTTAGTTTAATTAGATACCATTTGTCAATTTTGGATTTTGTTGCCATTGCTTTTGGTGTTTTAGTCATGAAGTCTTTGCCCATGCCTATGTCGTGAATGGTATTGCCTAGGTTTTCTTCTAGGGTTTTTATGGTTTTAGGTCTTACATTTAAGTCTTTAATCCATCTTGAGTTAATTTTCCTATAAGGTGTAAGGAAGTGATCCAGTTTCAGCTTTCTGCATATAGCTACCCAGTTTTCCCGACACCATTTATTAAATAGGGAATTCTTTCCCCATTGCTTGTTTTTGCCAGTTTTGTCAAAGATCAGATGGTTGTAGATGTGTGGTGTTATTTCTGAGGCCTCTGTTCTGTTCCCTTGGTCTATATATCTGTATTGGTACCAGTACCATGCTGTTTCTGTTACCATAGCTTTGTAGTATAGTTTGAAGTCAGGTAGCGTGATGCCCCCAGCTTTGTTCTTTTTGCTTAGGATTGTCTTGGTTACGCGGGCTCTTTTTTGGTTCCATATGAAATTTAAAGTGGTTTTTTTTTTCCAATTCTGTGAAGAAAGTCAGTGGTAGCTTGATGGGGATAGCATTGAATCTATAAATTATTTTGGACAGTATGGCCATTTTCATGATATTGATTCTTCCTATCCATGAGCATGGAATGTTTTTTTCACTTGATTGTGTCCTCTTTTATTTCCTTGAGCAGTGGTTTGTAGTTGTCCTTGAAGAGGTACTTCACATTCCTTGTAAGTTGTATTCCTATGAATTTTATTCTCTTTGTAGCAATTGTGAATGGGAGTTCATTCATGATTTGACTCTCTGTTTGTCTGTTATTGGTATATAGGAATGTTTGTAATTTTTGCGCATTGATTTTGTATCCTGAGACTTTGCTTGAGTTGCCTCTCAGCTTTAGGAGATTTAGGGTTGAGATGATGGGGTTTGCTAAATATATAGTCATGTCAACTGCAAGCAGAGGCAATTTGACTTCCTCTTTTCCTAACTGAATATGCTTTATTTCTTTCTCTTGCCTGATAGCCCTGGCCAGAACTTTCAACACTATGTTGAATAGTAGTGGTGAGAGAGGGCATCCTCATCTTGTGCTGGTTTTCAAAGAGAATGCTTCTAGGTTTTGCGCATTCAATATGATAGTGCCTGTGGGTTTTTCATAAATAATCTTATTATTTTGCAGTATGTTCCATCAATACCTAGTTTATTGAGAGTTTTTAGCATGAAGGGCTGTTGAATTTTGTCGAAGGCTTTTTCTGCATCTATTGAGATAATCATGTGGTTTTCGTCGTTGATTCTGTTTATGTGATGGATTATGTTTATTGATTTGCATATTTTGAACCAGCCTTGCATCCCAGGGATGAAGCTGACTTGATTGTGGTGGATAAGCTTTTTGATGTGCTGCTGGATTCAGTTTGTCAGTATTTTATTGAGGATTTTCGCATCAATGTTTATCAGGGATATTGGCCTAAAATTTTCTTTTTTTGTTCTTTTTCTGCCAGGTTTTGGTATCAGGATGATGCTGGCCTCATAAAATGAGTTACAGAGGATTCCCTCTTTTTCTATTGATTGGAATAGTTTCAGAAGGAATGGTACCAGCTCCTCTTTGTACCTCTAGTAGAATTTGGCTGTGAATTCGTCTGGTCCTGGACTTTTTTTGGTTGGTAGGCTATTAATTACTGCCTCAATTTCAGAATTTGTTATTGGTCTATTCAGGGATTTGACTTCTTTCTGGTTTAGTCTTTGGAGGGTGTATATTATTTCAGTAATTTATCCATTTCTCCTAGATTTTCTAGTTTAGTTGCATAGAGGTGTTTATAGTATTCTCTGATGGTAGTTTGTATTTCTGTGGGATCAGTGGTGGTATCCCCTTTATCATTTTTTATTGCATCTATTTGATTCTTCTCTCTTTTCTTCTTTATTAATCTGGCTAGTAGTCTGTCTATTTTGTTGATCTTTTCAAAAAGCAGCTCCTGGATTCATTGATTTTTTGAAGGATTTGTTGTGTCTCTATCTCCTTCAGTTCTGCTGTGATCTTAGTTATTTATTGTCTTCTGCTCGCTTTTGAATTTGTTTGCTCTTGCTTCTCTAGTTCTTTCAATTGTGATGTTAGGGTGTCAATTTTAGATCTTTCCAGCTTTCTCTTGTGGGCATTTAGTGCTATAAATTTCCCTCTACACACGGCTTTAAATGTGTCCCAGAGATTCTGGTACACTGTGCCTTTGTTCTCACTGGTTTCAAAGAACATCTTTATTTCTGCCTTCATTTTGTTATTTACCCAGTAATCATTCAGGAGCAGGTTGTTCAGTTTCCATGTAGTTGTGCGGTTTTGAGTGAGTTTCTTAATCCTGAGTTCTAATTTGATTGCACTGTGGTCTGAGAGACTGTTATGATTTCCGTTCTTTTGCAGTTGCTGAGGAGTGTTTTACTTCCAATTATGTGGTCAATTTTAGAATAAGCATGATGTGGTACTGAGAAGAATGTATATTCTGTTGATTTGGGGTGGAGAGTTCTGTAGATGTCTGTTAGGTCTGCTTGGTCCAGAGCTGAGTTCAAGTCCTGGATATCCTTGTTAATTTTCTGTCTCAGTGATCTGTCTAATATTGACAGTAGGGTGTTAAAGTCTACTACTATTATTGTGTGGGAGTATAAATCTCTTTGTAGGTCTCTAAGAATTTGCTTTATGAATCTGGGTGCTCCTGTGTTGGGTGAATAAATATTTAGGATAGTTAGCTCTTCTTGTTGCATTGATCCCTTTACCATTATGTAATGGCCTTCTTTGTCTCTTTTGATCTTTGTTGGTTTAAAGTCTGTTTTATCAGAGACTAGGATTGCAATCTCTGCTTTCTTTTGCTTTCCATTTGCTTGGTAAATATTCCTCCATCCCTTTATTTTGAGCCTATTTTGTGTCTTTGTACATGAGATGGGTCTCCTGAATAAAGCACACCCATGGGTCTTGACTCTTTATCTAATTTGCCAGTCTGTGTCTTTTAATTGGGGCACGTAGCCCATTTACATTTAAGGTTAATATTGTTATGTGTGAATTTGATCCTATCATTATGATGCTAGCTGGTTATTTTGCCTGTTAGTTGATGCAGTTTCTTCATAGCATCGATGGTCTTTACAATTTGGTATGTTTTTGCAGTGGCTGATACCAGTTGTTCCTTTACATGTTCAGTGCTTCCTTCAGGAGCTCTTGTAAGGCAGCCCTGGTGGTGACAAAATCTCTCAGCATTTGCTTGTCTGTAAAGGATTTGCTTGTCTGTAAAGGCTGGATATGAAATTCTAGGTTGAAAATTCTGTACATTAAGAATGCTGAATATTGTCCCCCATTCTCCTCTGGCTTGTAGGGTTTCTGCAGAGAGATCCACTGTTAGTCTGATGGGCTTCCCTTTTTGGGTAACCCGACTTTTCTCTCTGGCTGCCCTTAACATTTTTTCCTTCATTTCCACCTTGGTGAATCTGATGATTATGTGTCTTGGGGTTGCTCTTCTCAAGGAATATCTTTGTGGTGTTCTCTGTATTTCCTGTATTGGAATGTTGACCTTCCTTCCTAGGTTTGTGAAGTTCTCCTGGATAATATCCTGAAGAGTGTTTTCCAACTTGGTTCCATTCTCCCCATCACTTTCAGGTACACCAATCAAATGTAGATTTGGTCTTTTCACATAGTCCCATATTTCTTGGATGCTTTCTTCATTTCTTTTCACTCTTTTTCTCTAATCATGTCTTCTTGCTTTATTTCATTGAATTGATCTTCAGTCTCTGATATCCTTTCTTCCACTTGATCAATTCAGCTAGTGATACTTGTGCATGCTTCACGAAGTTCTCTTGCTGTGTTTTTCAGCTCCATCAGGTCATTTATATTCTTCTCTACACTGATTATTTTAGTTAGCAGTTCATCTAACCTTTTTTCAAGGTTCTTAGCTTCCTTGCATTGGGTTAGAACTTGCTCCTTTAGCTCGGAGGAGTTTGTGATTACCCACCTTCTGAAGCCTACTTCTGTCCGTTCGTCAAACTTATTCTCCATCCAGTTTTGTTCCCTTGATGGCGAGGAGTTGTGATCCTTTGGAGGAGAAGAGGTGTTCTGGTTTTTGGAATTTTCAAGCCTTTTTGCTCTGGTTTCACCCCATCTTCATGGATTTATCTACCTTTGGTCTTTGATGTTGGTGGCCTTCAGATGTGGTCTCTGAGTGGGCGTCCTTTTTGTTGATGTTGATACTATTCCTTTCTGTTTGTTAGTTTTTCTTCTAACAGTCAGGCCCCTCTGCTGCAGGTCTGCTGGAGTTTGCTGGAGATCCGCTCCAGACCCTGTTTGGGTGTCAGTGGTGGAGGCTGCAGAACAGCAAAGATTGCTGCCTGTTCTTTCCTCTGGAAGCTTCATCCCAGAGGGTCACCTACCAAATACCAGCCAGAGCTTTCCTGTATTAGGTGTCTGTCAGCCCCTACCGGGAGCTATCTCCCAGTCAGGATACACAGGGGTCAGAGACCCACTTGAGGAGGCAGTCTGTCCCTTATCGGAGCTCGAACACTGTGCTGGGAGAACCACTGCTGTCTTCAGAGCTGTCAGACAGGGACGTTTAAGTCTGCTGAAGCTGCACCCCCAACCACCCCTTCCCCCAGGTGCTCTGTCTCAGGGAGATGGGGGTTTTATCTATAAGTCCCTGACTGGGGCTGCTGCCGTTTTTCCAGAGATGCCCTGCCGAGAGAGGAGGAATCTAGAGAGACACTTAGCCTTGCTGAGCTGCAGTGGGCTCCACCCAGTTCGAACTTCCTGAGGGCTTTGTTTACACTTTGAGGGTGAAACCGCGTACTGAAGCCTCAGCAAGGACGGATGCCCCTCTCCCAACCAAGCTTGAGCATCCCAGGTCCACCTCAGACTGCTGTGCTAGCAGCAAGAATTTCAAGCCCGTGGATCTTAGTTTGCTGGGCTCTGTGGGGGTGGGACCCGCTGAGCCAGGTGCCAGGCACTGGAGGAAATCTCTTGGCCTGCTGGTTGCAAAGACCACAGGAAAAGCGCAGTATCTGGGCCGGAGTGCACGTTCCTACCAGTACGGTCTCTCACAGATTCCTTTGGCTAGGAAAGGGAAATCCCCTGACCCCTTGCACTTCCACGGTTGAGGCAATGCCCCACCCTGCTTCAGCTCACCCTCCATGGGCTGCACCCACTGTCCAACCAGTCTCAATGAGATGAACCGGGTACCTCAGTTGGAAATGCAGAATCACCCACCTTCTGCGTCGATCTCTCTGGGTGCTGCAGACTGGAGCTGTTCCTATTCGGCCATCTTGCCAGCTCTCTCTTTAATTCTTTAAACTTGGTTTTCGTTAGTTCTTTGATGATGTTTATAATAGCTGCATTTAAATTTTTTCTTCTAAATCTAGCATCTGAGAACACTTATGAACAATTTCTTTTGACTGCTTTTTCCTCCCCAGTTATGGGGAGAAACTTTCTTGTTTCTTTGCATGCCTTAAAAATTTATATTGAGAACTGCACATTTTAGATAATTGTAGCAGGTCTGGATTCTGATTCTCCCTCCCCTGTGGTGGTTATTGTTGCCAATTTGTAAAAAGTTTATTTGTTTATTTTGTGTTTGTGTCTTACTTATTTGCCTGAGATAAATCTGTGAAAACTCTCCTTTAGTGAGTAGCTACCTACTCCTCTACTCATTTTCTTATTTTTTATTTTTATTTTTGGACCGTCTCATTCTGTTGCCCAGGCTGGAGTACAGCAATGCAATCTCTGCTTACTGCAACGTCTGCCTTGTGGGTTCAAGTGATTCTCCTGCCTTAGCCTCCCAAGTAGCTGGGATTACAGGCGCCTGCCACCATGCCCAGCTAAATTTTGTATTTTTAGTAGAGACAGGGTTTCACCATGTTGGTCAGGCTGGTCTGGAACTCCTGACCTCAGGTGATCCACCCACCTCGGCTTCCCAAAGTGCTGGGATTACAGGCATAAGCCACCATGCCCAGCCAGTTTGTTTTTTAAGACTGGCTCATAGGAGTCACTCTGTTTATGCATAGGCTAGTTGCTAGTGAGTGACTGGGCACAAGTTGTGCTCAACCACCTGAGGCCAACAAGGTTTTTGTCTTTGCAAATGTATCTGTGTGTGGGTAGTGAAGAAATTAGAAGTTCAGGCTATTTTCATGTTAGCCTAACTTTACTGGCTCCTTTTGTGTCTCTCCTATGTGCATGTGGACAGCCTCTGGGTTCACAAAGAACATGTGGCTGGCCTGGGCCCTCTCCAATCTCAGCTGCACATACATGCAGCCGCAGCTATATGCATGCTACATCCACGTAATTCCAGTCTAGTAGAGGCCAGATACTGGAGGAATTGGCTTTTTCTGTTTGTTTGGCTCCCAAATAATCAGGTATATCAACAGTGTCACTGGACCTGGGCATTACCCAATGGTCCAAATTGTTTGCATCCTCTTCAGCTGGGGCAGAGAAGCTGCTGATCCTCATGGTCTGCCCTTCCTGCCAGTAGTTGCATGTTTTCGAAACTAGGGAGAGTGGGGAGCAGCCTATGGCTGGAATGCCACTGATTATCAGTCTTCTTATCCTAAGTTTAGCAATTTGTCAGCTAAAAGTGCTTCTTAGATTGTGGTATGCTTTTTGTTCAATTTTCAGAATTTTGAAATGGCTATTTTTGTTAATTTTGTCCAGATTCATCATTGCTTTTTGAGAAAACAATTTACCAGTTTCTTCATTTGACCCTAGTTGGAAGTCCTACCCTGGGATTTGTTGTTGTTGTTGTTGTTTTTCTTGTATTTTACTTCAGAAAATAAAATTTTACATTGAAATGAATTAAATTTGATAAACCTTCTACTTTATCATAATGCATACATGTGTTTACTTAAAACGATCATTTTGCTTTGCCAGTTCTAGAAACTCTCTACATTCTTGTATTTATTTTGCTGGAGTTTGCTGGCATGAGAACATGAGCCTTCATGTTCATGCAGAGGTTCTAAGATTGGATAAACTGGTGTCATGACAAAAATTTCATTTATTTCTCATATAATTATTAGATTGTTCTCAGAAAGACTGCATATCATTGCAATTTCTCTTTTAAATCCTCCTATTCATTTGGTTTCACATTAAATATATATATATTCATTTCCATAAATCTGTCCATATCCATGCAGTACAAAGGTCAAAATTACTCACTGTCGATGAAGAGTGGGGAAGCTTATGATTTATCCTGTGATTCTAAAATGGCAGACTTTGTTGAAAAAAAGTCTCGTATTGGACATTTTCCCCTGAATTTTGAGTTTATTTATCATTGCCTCTTCTGGTTCCTTACCCCAGGGAATCTTGGTAAAGCATGGAGCAGGAAACTGAGGATAAGAACCTTGCGTACTACTTTTCTTACTAAGGGAGTTGAAATCAGTATAATCAAGAATGACCAACACTACTTTTTTCTCACACATCCAACATCATGAATTCCAATATAACTCCTGAAATATCTGCATTGCCTAGCCATATTTCTGTACTAATTAGATTATCCAGCCATACAGGAAATTTTGTGTTTATTTTTTGAAGCTAGCACATCTTACGTGGCCAGAGAAGGAGAAAGAGTGTCAAGGGGAAGGTGCTACACATTTGTTAACAACCAGATCTCATGAGAACTCACTCACTATCACAAGAATAGCAACAGGGAAACCTGCCCCATGATCAAATCATCTCCGGCCAGGCCCTTCCACCAACATTGGGGATTACAATTTGACATGATATTTGGGCAGGGACACAAATCTAAATCATATTATTTCATAACTGGCCTCTCCCATATCTCATGTTTTTCTCACACTGCAAAACACAATCATCCCTTCTCAAGATTCCCCCATGTCTTAACTCATTTCAGCATGAACTCAAAAGTCCACAGTCCAGAGTTTCATCTGAGAAAAGTCAAGGCCCTTCTGCATGAGCCTGTAAAATAAAAAACAAATTAGTTACTTCCAAGATACAATGAGAGTACAGACATTGGGCAAATACACCTGAACAAAAAGGAAGAAATCAGCTAAAAGAAAGAGGCTACAGGCCCTGAGCAAGCCCAAAACCCAGCAGAGTAGTCATTAAATTTTAAAGCTCCAAAATAATCTCCTTTGATTCCATGTCCCACATTCAGGCCACACTGAAGCAAGGGGTAGATTGCAAGGCCTTGAGCAGCTCCGCCCCTGTGGTTCTGTGGGGCTCGGCTCCCAAGGCTGCTTTCAAGGGCTGGCATTGAGTGCCTGTGGCTTTTCCAGGAGCGCAGTGCAAGCTGTCAGTGGATGTACCATTCTGTGGTTTGGAGGGTGGTAGCCCTCTTCTCACAGTTCTACTAGGCACTGCCCCAGTGGGGACTCTGTGTGGGTGCTCAAATCCCACATTTCTCTTCTACACTGCCCTAGTAGAGGTTTTCCACGAGAGCCACGTCCATGCAGCAGACTTCTGTTTGGACAGCCAGGTGTTTCCATACATCCTCTGAAATCTAGGTGGAGGCTCCTAAGCCTCAACTCTTGCCCTCTGTGCATCCGCAGGCTTACTGCCATGTGGAAGCCACCAAGGCTTACTGCTTGCACTCTCTGGACCAGTAGCCTGGGATTTATCTGGGACAATTTAACCATGGCTGGAGCTGGAGCAGCTGCAACACAGTGAGCAGTGTCCTGAGGTTATGCAGGGCAGTGGGGCCCTGGGCCTAGCCCACAAAATCATTCTTCCCTCCTAGGCTTCCAGGCCTATGATGCGAGGGGGGCTGCCTAGAAGGTCTCTGAAATGCTTTTGAGGCATTTTCCCCATTGTCTTGGCTATTAACATTCAGCTCTTCTTTACTTATGCAAATTTCTTCAGCCATTCCTCCTCAGAAAATGTGTTTTTCTTTTCTACCATGATGTCAGGCTGCAAATTTTCCAAACTTCTATGCTCTGTTTCCCTTTTAAATAAAAATTTTAATTTCAGATCATGTCTTCGCTCATGCATAACAAAACTGAACTATGCTCCAGTTTCCAATAAGTTTCTCATCTCTATCTGAGATCTCCTCACCCTTGACTTATTGTCTGTATCACTATCAGCATTTTGGTCACAGCAATTTAACAAGCCTCTAGGAAGTTCCAAACTCCCTTATTTTCCCATCTTCTCCTGAGCCCTCCAAACTGTTCCAACCTCTGCCCATTATCCAGTTCCAAAGCTGCTTTCACATTTTCAGGTATCTTTATTGCAATGCCCCTCTGTCTGTACCAATTTTCTGTATTAGTTTCTTTTCACACTGCCATAGAGAAAAGAAGTTTAACAGGCTCACGGTTCCACAGGCTGTACAGGAAGCATGGCTAGGGAGGTTTCAGGAAACTTACAATCATGGCAGAAGGCAAAGGGGCAGTGGGCACGTCTTACATGGCCAGAGCAGGAGGAAGAGAGTGAAAGGGGAAGTGCTACACACTTTTAAACAAACAGATCTCACAAGAACTCACTATCATGAGAAAAGCAAGGGGGAAATCGGTCACCATGATCCAGTTACCTCCCACCAGGCCCCTCCTCCAACACAGGTGATCACAATTTGATATGAGATTTTGGTGGGGACACCAACACAAACCATATCAGACCTCCACTTGTCTGAACTATGTTTAAGAAACTAATATATAAGTGACTTAACATTCTACCTCTTTAATTAGAGTACCTACAGTGCACCCATAAGATGATTACTTTTAAATTGAAATTAATTAAAGAAATATGTGTTTGTACAGGAAAATATATAAAGCATATTTGGAAAATTTATGACATGTATCTCTTGGACTTCATGCTAAGCAACTATAACAAAGAAACCTCAACTTACAGTGGCCCAGACAAGACACATTTTTTCCTCTCGCTAAATTCATGTCAGTGGGCTGTGCATCATCAGGCCAACCAAGGCCTTGGGTTCTTTCCACCGTGCCACCATCACCATCATCATGGTTGATGTTGACTCATCAGCACCGTATCTACATCCTAGCTCAAGGGAAGTGGAGAAAAACAAAATCCAGGTCAAGTGGCTTGCTGTATTTCAACATGACCCAGAAATTGTGCATTCCATTGAGCTGAGTTTGTTGCATGTCCACATTGAGGTGCATGGAAGGCTGAGAAATATCTTGATCTGAATGCCCATTAACCCACCTAGGAGACTGCTTTATGACTGTTCTCCAATAATATAAATAACACATGCTTCCTGTAGAGCATTTGGTTATGCAAAATGGTAAAATAAGTAAAGAAAATCCATCATTAATTTCATTTTTGAGATATTGACAGTCATACTTTTTTGTGTGTTTTTCTTACTAGGTAGTTTTTTAACATACCTGTGCAATTCTCTGAATACACATTGTCATTTTACCATTGCTATACTATGAACTTTTCTCCATGTGATTAATTGACTTTAGTGAACCTCATTTTAATAGCTAACACATGGATGAACTCTTACTTAAATGAGTGATATATTCTCCTACTGTGAAACATTAACCTGTTTCCAGATGCTTACTATTATAAATAAGTTGTTACATGCATTTATATTTTCAGTGTTTTCTAGGGTAAGTTCTTAGGAAAGTAATTACTGCCAAATTGGTGTTCAAAAAGTTATGCCAATTTTTACTCCCACCAGCAATATATGAGATGACATATTGAGAATTACTGAGAAAATGGCCTTAACTTTCTGGGTATTTTTTTTTTTATTTGAGAACTCATTGTTTTTGAAGTGACGATTGGAAATAAAAACCCCTCGTTTTTCTCTACAATACACAAAAGTACACATGAACACTTTTCCAGCAAGAAAATAGTTTTAAAATCAATTTGATTTAATGGTTTATATTTTATAATTTGTTGGCATGTTTATTACCCACGAGCAGTTCTTTGAATGGTCTCTACATGTTATTTACCCTTTTTTCTCTATTATATTTTTATTATTTTGTTTTAAACTAACATATATTAGTTCTTTATAGTAAGTATATCAACCTCTACCCAGTAGGTCTATTGGAATTTTTTTCTTTCTTTTTTTTTTGAGATGGAGTCTTACTCTTCTCACCCAGGCTGGAGTGCAGTGGCAAAATCTCGGCTCACTGCAACCTCCGCCTCCCGGGTTCAAGTGATTCTCCTGCCTCAGCCTCTTGAGTAGCTGGGATTACAGGTGCCCCCCACCACACCTGGCTAAATTTTTGTACTTTTAGAAGAGACAGGGTTTCATCATGTTGGCTAGGCTGGTCTCGAACTCCTGACCTCAGGTGATCCACCCACCTCGGCCTCCCAAAGTGCTGGGATTACAGGCATGAGCCACCACGCCTGGCTGGAATTTTTTAATGCTAGTTTGCTGTGTTAAGACACAACGACTACAAATCCCTTAATAGCTTCTTCCATTGCTTTTCTGCTTAGAAAATATCTTCCCATATTCAAATCATTATGTATATAAGATAGTAACATCTTGTTCCTTGTAATTCTTTAGTGTATTACTGAATTGCAATTATTTTAGTTGTATAGAAAATATTTATGTTTTCTGGAGCAAGTCTTCTTTCATGATTCCTCTTTCATTTTTTTTCTTCCTTTCACTAAGTAATTTTAAAGGTATACTTTATAATTATTTTAAAATTTTCTCATGGGAGTGATAAATGTAAAATTTTGATTAGATTTACTATATCTGTATTATAATATATTTTCATTATTATAATAATATAATTATAGATTACCAATTTTGTAACATATTTCAAATTGAAATGTCAAAATATAATTTAAATTATAATTACACATTAAAATGTTATTTATGGTATTATATTTTATATTATGCACCATATTAAAATACAACTTATTTATATTTTACATATAATTAATTTACTTATGTTTTATGTTTACACTTAAGGTAATATTTAATATTTATACTAACATATTAATATTATTTTATATTACACTAATTTTCATATTATAACAGTTTTTCCATTTTCAAAATATCCATTCTTTTCTTTTCTTCCATGCCTCCTTCCATTGATTCAATATTTCATTTGTGCCTATTAGTAAGGCTTCCTTGTTTCTTTTCATAAAACATTCACATTGCTTTGTTAAGATTATTCTTATTTTGTATTTTTGTACTATTGCTAAATGCTTCTCTCCTATATATTTTATAGCTGGTCTTCCTGGTATAAGAAAATACTGATTTTTGTTAGAATGGCAATCATTAAAAAGTCAGGAAACAACAGGTGCTGGAGAGGATGTGGAGAAATAGGAACACTTTTACACTGTTGGTGGGACTGTAAACTAGTTCAACCATTGTGGAAGTCAGTGTAGCGATTCTTCAGGGATCTAGAACTAGAAATACCATTTGACCCAGCCATCCCATTACTGGGTATATACCCAAAGGACTATAAATCATGCTGCTATAAAGACACATGCACACGTATGTTTATTGTGGCACTGTTCACAATAGCAAAGACTTGGAACCAACCCAAATGTCCAACAATGATAGACTGGATTAAGAAAATGTGGCACATATACACCATGGAATACTATGCAGCCATAAAAAATGATGAGTTCATGTCCTTTGTAGGGACATGGATGAAATTGGAAATCATCATTCTGAGTAAACTATCGCAAGAACAAAAAACCAAACACCGCATGTTCTCACTCATAGGTGGGAATTGAACAATGAGAACACATGGACACAGGAAAGGGAACATCACATTCTGGGGACTGTTGTGGGGTGGGGGGAGGGGGGAGGGATAACATTAGGAGATATACCTAATGCTAAGTGACGAGTTAATGGGTGCAGCACACCAGCATGGCACATGTATACATATGTAACAAACCTGCACATTGTGCACATGTACCCTAAAACTTAAAGTATAATAATAATAAAATAAAAAAATAAATAAATAAAAAAGAAAATACTGATTTTTTGTTAATTGTAAAATTGGCTGTCTAAATAAAACCTTATTGTTTTCAAAAGCTTTTGATTTGGTTACCATGAGATTTCTGTGTAAAAAAATTAAGTAATTTGCCCTAATGGTATCTTGTCTCCTTTTTGTTTTGAAAAGTTTGACTCAACCCTCCCCTCTTCAGGAAATGGCTCATTTTTGTCTCTTTTCCTTCTTTACAGCATGGAGGAGTGTGAGGCTCTTTGCACAAGACTGGCCATAATGGTTAACGGCAGCTTCAAATGTCTTGGTTCTCCTCAGCACATCAAAAATAGGTGCGTTGAAGTTCTCCTTTTGCTTAGATATTTACTATGAAATCAATAGCATGATGCAGGGTTATGACTGGAGATGCTTTAGAGGCAAGTATGTTCCAATTACCTGCTGGCATAAAATAGGAGATGAAGGCTCTGAGGGGATAAAATACTGTGGCTAGTAAGTCAAACACATAGCAACTCCCAAACACAGTCTAGTGTTCTCCCTGTAAGGGAGACATTTTGCTTTTCTCTTGCCAGGTAGACATTGCTCCCTCCTTGTAGTGACATTGGTAGGGGTGAGAATAAGATTGCAGAGTCAAGATGATGACAGGACACAAAATGTCCTCTTTACACACAAAATGCCTTATGAAAAGGCTGTGCTGATATGTCCCTCATCTGCAGTGAATCAAAGTTCCCATTTTATCCTACCAAACACTATCCTTTTGAAAAAGACCATCAATTTATAAGGGTAGGAGAGGGTTGTTATGGTTGCTTTCCATTTGGATTATGAAAGACTAAAGACTTCTTTCCTGTGCTCATTGATCCTTTATATTTCTTCCTGGTTAATTCTCTTCATGTATTTTCTTTATTTCCTTTTTGGAATCTTAATAATTTTGTTATCAATTTGTGTGAGCATTGTTACATCCTGGTATAACATTAAAAAAATTAAAGTTGCCTAAATACACGTCCAATTTTCCTTTGATTTGTTTAACCTGTCATTCTATGTAGAATAATTTATTCATTTATGTTGATAAATCTCTTATTTTCATTTATTCAGTGTTTTTAAGGTTAGGATTCTCAAGCAGAGATTTGGTAAATAGTCATATGTAAATTTTAAATACTTTTAATTTATGGAGAAAATAGCTGATGCTCAGGATTGAGATGACATAGTAGGGAGTGAGTGTCCATTTTTAGAGTTAGGCACTGCTGGGATGGTCAGCCTCACAGTTGCTTGCTGCTTCGGGTCAACCACTGGTCAGATGCACCTACTGGAAACTATTCTCGGTATGTACTCTGCCCATCTTTAATAAGTATCATCAAAAGAAAAATAATATTTCATGGTCTCCAACCTTTATGAATGCCTACATAAAGTTTTATAACCCATTCTTGATTGTTGGGTGATTTATGTCTGATTTATGTTTACAAAAGTTTCCCACAAGAGCCAGCAGGACGAAGCACATGGGGATAGGTTTTCTCTAGCTGTTGCATTCTACATACTGGAAAATCTGTGCCTACTTCGGAGTTTGGGTTCCCATAATGTGATATATGGGTTGAGCATGAATTGTTAGTGGATATGAACTGTAGGACTATATTAAACAAGAAATGGCTTGTGGGTTATTCACTGAAACATCAAACTTAATAAAATTTAAAAAATAATTTGTGGCCGGGTATGGTGGCTCACACCTGTAATTCTAACACTTTGGGAGGATGAAGTGGGAGGATCACTTGAGGCCCAGAGTTTGAGACCAGCCTGAGCAACATAGTGAGACCTCATTCCTACAAAACATTTTTTAAAAATTAATTTTAAAAAATTATATCCAGGTGTGGTGGGGTGCATCTGTAGTGCTAGCTACTTAGGAGGTAGGAGAATCAGTTGTGTCCAAGAGATCGAGGCTGCAGTAAGCCATGATTGTGCCACTACACTCCAGCCTGCGTGACAGAGTCAGAAAACAATTAAAAAGTAAAATAAAATAATTTGTAAAATGCTTATTCTCCTATAACTATAAACCTATAATAAACAAACACATGATGATGCCTGTTTCTATAATATTGAGATAAAGAATAAAGGATTGATCATGACATAGATGGTAACAATAACTAGATTTTTCATAAACTTCGGCATCCATACCTGGGAGTTAGCAACATCAGAACCCATTTCTCTGACGTGGAGGTGTTGAGATGGATGAGAGAACTTGTAGTGGGTCTCCTTCCTCCTCCTCTCCATCCCTTTCTTTCCATGAACATGAATTGTTAGGAACGTGAATAAGGAAGAGTAGGGTCTGGGTGAGGGAAGAGGTTCTGAGGAGATAACTCAGGAGAAGGCGAGGGTTTTGGAGGGAAGATTATGGCTGAATTTGGGCAGGGATCTGGGTGTCAGGATTTCCCCGTGGAGAGGCAGGAGGCTGGTGAGGAGGGTCCCAGGCTTGGGCTGGGAGACATCTGCCCAGAGGGAGAACGGAAGAGAGGAGCTACAGAAATCCCACAGAGGGGGGACCCAGAGGGCAGGGCTTGGGCTTCAGAGACCAGCTCCCCTTGGGAGGGGCAGGTGCAACAAGAGCCTGCAATGAGAGCCTAGTGGAGTGAAGCCAGGAGAGCACGAGGGTTTAGTCACCTTTAGCTTCTGAATTGCAGTGCTGACCTTGACCTCATGAACAGTCGGGAACCCTTCAGTGCAGGTCTCAGCAAATTCGCCCGTGACAGGAAGCTGAGGCTTGCACCTGCTACGTCAGTTCACTCGGACAAAGCAGCCATTTTTCAGGGTGAAGTGGGGAAAGTGGAAAAGGAATGTAAGGATCAGAAAAATGAGGAGCCACAGAAATATAGAGGGAAGAATGTCCGTGGCAAGTAGGGACAGATACATAAGAGGAAAAAACAAAATAGAAAGTGAAGTGAAATTTCCCAAACCAAAGAACTTTTCCTACCTCACTCTCTGCCCCAGGCACAGCCCTCAGAGAAATGGGGCCTCAGATGAGAAACAGCTCTTCCATGGGACTTCAGACCCCACCTGGGCTCCCTGAGTTCATCCCACCTTCCTGAGCCTGGGGAGTAAGACCCAAGCACAGGGATCACTTTCTACCCCAATCTGCAGGTGGCACTGTCTTTCCTTCCCACCCTCTGTCGGTTCAGTCAGCCCCGTAAACCCATGCCTGACTCTGCTCTGATTCTCTTCCTTCCTGCTGTGCTCATTTGAGTTGCTTTCTTGGGTCTTAAGCAAAACCTTGGTACATGCACTTCACCATCTGAGAAGGGTTTCCGCAGAGGACACCAAATCCCATTCCCATGCTCCTAACAGAGCATTAACACCCCAGCATCCTGCTTCATTCCTGGACTGACCTCATCCTTAGCCCACTGTTTTAAAATATAGTGTGTTAATAGAAAAATTGAAGTACAATAAGGCCAATAGATCAGGAAACGACTGCCTTTGAAAATACCATGTATTACAGTTTCCAATAATAGGGGCATGGCACACAGGGTCCCATGAGGGAGCATCAGGTCAGCCAGGAGGCAGAGGGCAGCTGGAAGGAAACCTGAGCAAGGGATTTTATTGTGATTTCTATTGGAAGGAAGGGGTGAAATAGGGCAAGCAGGCCTAGGATCTGCTACTTTGAATAACTTTAGTGGGCTGTGCAGCATAGGGGTTGTCCCTAGTTGTCTAGTACCTGTGCCTGGGGTGACTGGGGGAGGTGGATTGTGGCTTAACATGTGAGAGCCCCTTAGAGGAGGTGTTTGAGATGATGTGTGCTCTGGGTCAGCTGGTTTGTATTTGAAAAAGTGAATTTATTTGCAAGTTGTTTACTATCTTTAGGAATTGGCTAGCTCTGGGAGGGGCAGTTCTTCCAGAGTCAGCAAGTCCCCACTTTTTCAAAGTATTAGAATACAGAAGATAATAGGCATGGTTAATACACACACTCCAGGACTCACTGAGGCTGAGTGGAGCCATAAGGGCAGGGCCAATCACATTCTGCCTGCCTGGAGGAAGCCAGGCTTGCCCACTTTGCAGAGGAAGGCAGGGAGCTCTGGCTGTGCCAAGGGTTCTGAAGTCCCCCTTCTCTTCCTTGGTACAGACTTTTGTTCTTCCTGGGAATCTTTAATAGCTTGTTTCAGAGCTATTATCTACATAGTGAATTTCCAAACACTTTGAGATTATAGAGTTGTATTAAAAAGCAAGTTCCTTGGACCCCTGATCTATGGATAACCTAAAGCTCTCTGTGACCGGTCTGTACCAATCATCCATGGAGAAGGGCCTCTGAGAAAAAAAAATGCAATAGGCCACTATCTAGTGTGTATGTCTATCCATTGATATCAAGTTGTTATGTTAACTGTGATGTTGTTTCTTACCTGAGTCACAATTTAAGAAAAGTCAATCAATATTAGATCTTTTGCTCGTAAAACTGAGGCTGTTTGCTTCTGACATTTAATATTTCTTTAACAAATGTTTATTGAAACCCAGCAAGGGCATGCAGAGGTAGGTCTGATGCAGTTTATGCCTGCTTTGGTACTCACAAGTGCAGAGAGTGAGTCCGGCACATGCCCGGTGACATCACAAGGCCTAACAGGGCAGGCAACATAGAAAAGGTATCAACTAGAGTGTTCCGTGAAAGTGTCATATATGCCAAGTGGCCTCCAAACCCAGGAAAAGCCGAGAAATCAAAGAAGGAGGAAGACACATCCAGTTTGTTGGTAAAGGGCGATTTCCTGGGGTCACTTATGAATGGAAGTGTGGTCTTGGGAAGCAGCAAGACAGGTAGACCTCTGCAACATTACTCCCCAGACCCAGGGCTCTTATATCACAGGGAAAGGGCACCTACCCTAGAGAGACAATTGAAGACACCCCTCCATAACAGGCAAGAGTTTTTCATGCGTTATGGGCTATCATTTGTGCAATAACTTAAGGGTTGCCTTGATCTAAAGGCAGGAGCACTTGTTCTTACAGGAAGGACAGGAAGTGAAGTAGGAATCAGGAGGCATTTGCGGGCCTAGGCTAACCAGAAGTCAATGTGGTAGATTAGCATCCATGATGCAGTCACTTTTGTCTCCACATGGAGCTCTGAGGAGGAGGAGGAGGAGGCCTTTTTTAGTTTGAGGAAATAGCGAAATATCTTAGACCTGGAGTACAGGTAAAATTTGGTTAAAAGGGGATTTAATTCTGGATTGTATTTAGTAACAAAAAATCACTACAGAATTGGAATTTGAGAGCAAGTAAGAGGGACAGATACCAGTCAAAGCAAAGTTTAGATTTCAATATGAAAAATAAAGAAAATCCTCAGGCTAAGTAAAAGCAGCATGACCATTTTAAATGTTCCTTGAGCAACCCTCGGCTTCATGGTCTTAACTTCGTTTCTGCAGCTCAGCACTGTTTCGTTTTGGGTTGGATAATTCTTGGTTGTGGGAGGTTGTCCTGGGCATGTAAGATGTTTAGCACCATCCCTGGCCTGTGCAGCACCCTCACCCCAATTGTGACAACTAAAAATATCTCTTGACATTGGCAAATGTCTTTTGGGCAGCAAATTGTCCTGGGTGAGAACCACTGTCTCAGCTGTTACTTTGTTCTATGTCCCCAGAGACATGGAACACACTAGGAAACCTAGTTACAATAATAGTTAGACCAGATTCCAAAAACATTAGGCAGTCAACCCTGTCTTTCCTATGGCCAGATCTGAAACGTGTCCTGCTCAGTGGCTAAGAGGAGGCAGGTGTATGAAGTAGGAGGATGTCAGCAAATGGGCACAAGGATGGGTAGAGGGCGTTGCACACAGGGCATTGTCTTACCAGAGGCAAACACTCTGGGCTGTGGAGTGATCTCATTTTGCAGAAGTCCAAGATCCATGAGAAAGGAGTGCCCTCTTCTCCTTTCAGTCTTAGTACAGCCCTAGTATGAGATGTATGAAGTCATAGTGGAAAGCCAGAGGTCCTGAGAGGAGCTGCAACTCTGCAGGCCAGCATCACTCAGGTGCTTTCTCATGCTTCTCTAAATACATCCCTACCCCACCTCAGTGCCTGTTCTCACTTGAACACCTTGCTTGGACCACTCCCCATCACTGATTACACAATACTCCCACCCACAGACACCGAGGATGATTCTTCCTTTTTCCTTGAGACTTCTCTGGCTTTTTCATTGCTTGGCATTTTCTTCCCTTTGCTTGTGTTTTTTTCTTTATAGCAATAATCTTTTCCTCTTCTTTGGCATAAGTTTGCATCCTGCCTGCCAAAAGATCTGTTCGTAGAGTGTTTAATATCCACAATCTTACCTCGTTCCAATTCAGTGTTCTGCTCCTAGAGAGCACAGACTTTGTCTTTTATCAGTCCTACTTTTGCGATATGCTCAAGTATCCATGTGATTTAGGAGATAAAATATGAGGGCAATGACAACCAGTCCAGTCCTGGAGGTCTTGGTGTCTGAAAACCCAGGGGTACCACAATAAAGAGGATATGTGTGGTCCTGAAATGTTTAGGTTTTAGTTCACCAGGAGGTTTAATACTGCCAAATTCTACATTCATTATTTACTAAGTTGGTGTCCTATGCTCTTCTCAAGCTCTAGATCTTCTTGTTATAGTTCCTTAAATTATTTTTTTGATACTTCTAAGTAGTTAAACAATGATTTTAACTTTAGATTGGTATTCCAATGTATTTCTAAACTGCTGTATGTGTTCATAAGTTAAGAACTAACCAAATTAAAGTTTAAAGAATCATGTCTATGGTTTATCACTTCAACAAAATAAGCCAACAATGGATTTCTATTAGTGGGATTTAGCTAAAAGCATTTTCCTGATGCTGGTTTGGGACCTCATCATGCTTTTCCTGGCTTCAGCCAACACCAACTGCCCCAATCCTGAGTCTGGTGCAGGTGGAAATATTTGTTCAAAATTGGTAATTGATTTCCCAGAAGGACAGACAGCATCTAGAGTATAGAATTTCGGGGACCCAACCTCATAGGGAAAAGTGTATTTGCTCCCTCCCTGGTCATCTTGACCTCATTCCAGCGCTTCCCTTCTTCTCTCCCACCCTTATGACCCTCTGGCCTATTTCAACTGGAGAAATCATCAAGTCCCTCCTTGTCCCCTCTCCAGCCTGCAGGACTCTTGCTAAGCCTGCAAGGTTGTCACAGAGTGCTCCTCAGATGCATTCTTCAGCTGTCCTTCCTGTGGCATTACCAAAACACACCCTCAAAGGATTATTATTATTTGTTCTTTCTGCCGAACCTTCTCTCTCCTAATCCATTCTCTACTTCTCAGTTTCTCTAGCCTGGACCCAGTTTACACCTGGGCTACACCTGTGCCATTTTCCTCTTGGAGCAGAAGGGGTTAGAATGCTGCTGGATGTCCTCCCTTTGGGCTCAATAAACTCCTGGAAAATTCTCTTCTCCCCTTTTACTCCCTGGCAAAGGAAAATTTACCCCTTATAAAATCTGTAGAGTGTGTCCTAACGCGCAATACTGGACCATCTCTTAGTGATGTTATGTCCCCTTGTCTTGCATCACTATATTCCCTTCTTCTTGCCTTTCTAGCCTATAGATATTCCCCCTTTCCTAATTGTCCTCATCCTCATCTTTTATCTCTTTTGTCTTCACCATTTATTATAGTCTGTTACCTACTGCTCTGAGCAAGATATATAGATTATCTAGCAATCTGGATAATAATATTGAGAACTAATTCTTATATAGTGCTTACTGTATGCCAGCTGTAAGTGCTTTATACACATGAATCAATTTATTCCTCATGACAATCCTACAAAGTAGCTGTTATTATTACCCTTCATCTTATAGGCATAAAAAAGTAGTCATAGAAAGGTTGAGTGACTTTTCCAGGATTACCATCTAGTAAGTAGAGGGACTGACATTTGAACCCCAGCATTCTGGTGCTACTTTGCTCTATGATGCATCATCTCATGATTGTCCACATTTAACAAATGAAAGAAGTGAGCCTCCTACCTGTGGTGGAGCTGCCTTTCAACTGCAGCCAGTCTGACTCCAAGCTTGCAGGCCTGGTCACCATTTCCGCTTCCTTCCTGCTGGAGCACTTCCCAGAGCCGTAAGCATGAACATGCAAACTCTCGCTGCATCTTCAATGGTGTCTGCACCAGCAACTCTCTCTTGTTGACATGTCTTTTGGCAAAATTTTAATATCTTTTCCATTCCTATTGAGACCTCATCATCCTACTCATTTAACAAGTAATTTCTAATTTCCTGAGAGACACCTCTTGTCAGCTAGCTTTTTGATGGGCTCTCACAAAGTTTTTATTTCTTCGTTATCCTTTTCTTTCTTTGTATCTATGTCTGAGAAAGAAATCTGCTTAATTATTGAGTGTTTTTATTCTGTTTGATGATAACATAATCGATTTCCCTTGGGATGCCTTCTGTCAGTGGTTTTATTCTGCTTTACATCCTTGATCTTTTCACAGTCAAGAGCAGTTAATAACAGAACATCAACCACATTGACTTAACCATATTCATCGTTATTTGTAGTAAGAATCCAGAGGTAACTGGTTATTGGCATTCCTTAAGAGGTCCTAGGCCTGACAGTGTGGGTGTTCCCAAAGTGGCTGCTGTAGCTCCACCCAATATATATATGTTCTAGGCAACAACTAAGAAAAGCAGAGAAAAGCAAAAAGAGCACATGCCAACTGTCTGTTCCCTCTTAAAGTAGCTTTCTGTCAGAGTCCCACCCAGCAACTTGTACTTAGGTTTATTTGTCACCTGGCTACAAAGAAGTCTAAGAAATGTAGACTCTAGCTGGGCACTTTGCTACTTAAATAAGGTTAGGTTTCTGTTCCCAAGGAAGATAGGGATCATGGTTGTGGAGTGGGAAGCCTGCAGCCTCACTTATTCACCTGACTGGATTCTTTTCCTCCATTGAGGGTAGGTCGTTAGGTTGAGCAGCTGAGCTGAACGGACTCTTGGGCTTTCAATTTAAGATTGTCATATGCTATGAAAGAGCCCTATATGGTATAGAGATTCATGAGTTTACGTGTGAGCACATGATAGAGTGTGTGTGTGTGTGTGTGTGTGTGTGTGTGTGTGTGTGTGGCTCAGTTAATAACAGAGGAGAGCTGGAGTGGAGTGGCACTCACCTAATAGCCACAGGTGGCTAAAACTATCCTTTTGGGCACTGATGTTTTGTCCCAGGCAATTAGGGATGCATCCTCAAATCCTCTGCATGTCATAAATTGAGCACATAATGGTGCCCTGGTAGCTAGCTGCCTTTGTACTTGCAGACACTGAGCATATTCCCAACTTACCTGGAGGGAACCATTAACAGCTGCATGCGGCATCTATTTGCTTTTCTCCTCCCTTGAACCTGATTGACATAGGAGGCTTAAGTCTGACTTGGTAAAAACACTCCTGTCATGGAAAGGAAATAAAACATGCTTCTGAAGCACAGAGTTTACAATGTGAAATACTCCAGGCCAATTTATGATTTTGGGGTGAGGGAGGATAAAGGCTGTGTATTTTGTTGTCGTTGTTGTTGTTTTCTTTTTTCTTTTTTTTTTTTTAGACAGAGTTTTGCTCTTGTTGCCCAGGCTGGTGTGCGAGTGCAATGACACGATCTCGGCTCACTGCAACCTCTCTGTCCCAGGTTCAAGCGATTCTCCTGCCTTAGCCTCCCAAGTAGCTGGGATTACAGGCATGCACCACCATGCCCAGCTAATTTTGTATTTTTAGTAGAGATGAGGTTTCACCATGTTGGTCAGGCAGGTCTTGAACTCCTGACCTCAGGTGATCTGCCCGCCTCAGTCTCCCAAAGTGCTGGGATTACAGGTGTGACTCAAGGCACCCAGCCTGTTTGTTTGTTTTTCTTTCTTTCTTTCTTTTTTATTTTTTATAAAGAAAACACAGCTTCAAATGATTTAAAGAAAATTGTTAAGATTATGAGAATTTACATTTCCTTGAGTTATCAACTGTAAACTTTGAGAACCAAGAATAAAAGTAGAATAAAGTTCAAAGGATCCCATCATAGATGTGTTATATAGCCATCTAAGTTAAAATATAAAGAATAGTGTAGAAGGGTTTGTTTGTGGATTTTTTTCCTAAAAAAAATGAAAGGAGGCAGAATCTTGTTTGAGCTCTCAAGCTACCACTGTCTGAGTAGCTGCAAATTAATGTATCACCTTATGTGACACCATATGCTTTAGTGTGGCAACTTTGACTTAATATATCTATAAACCATTACTATAATCATAACATCTCGGATTAAGATTGCATCACCACATAATGAAGTGGATCATTTAAAAGTGAAATAGATAATTCAGTATGTTTATGTCACTTTCACAAATGGGGAAGGAAGTTTGCACATGAGCACAAAAATAATTTCTGCCATGATGTGGAACTATGGAATGATGTGCTACTGAGTTATATTTTTCTATATTTTACTTTAGTTTAAAGCATCATATAATTCACCTGCTGCTACTAACCACTGAATTAATTCTCTTTACTAGAAATGATTTTAAGAGAGATAGTGCACCTCCATATCCTCAGCGTGTTTCACCTCACCTGCTATGTGTAATTTGTCATCTCATTTGTTGTCACAACATCATGTTGTATGAACACAGCATTGCTCTGACATAATTAGCTGGGAAGACTTTCTGATTCTCATGCCATTCTCATGCTGGACATTTTGGTTAGCTGCCTCTGGTCTTGGAAATTCAGGTCATGAACAGTATCACCCAGAGCTGTCACTTTATCAAAAGTAAACATTCGGCATTCATTTTTTAATATTTTCTGTAAGAATAAACAGAATGCTTTTCACTCACAATGAAGATGGAAAATAGAAGTGTTGGAGATATTTTTAGATGGGTGAAGTTGTTGGGGACTCAGACTCACATCATGAGTCCTGTTCATTCATACACATTTATTGAGTAACCACTTAATTAGAGATGATGAAAATGTGATTCCTAATCTCAATAAACTCGGCATAGTGTACAGGCAGAAACATAACAATGAATACAACACAATATGATAATTGTTCTAAGAGACTGGTGAACGAAATGCTGTGTTGTGCATCTCAGTTTAAACCTGCAAACATTACTGAATGTTTACATAGTGCCAGGGTCTTGGGATTGAGTGGGTAATAAGGCATGAGCCCTGTAAGAACTGGGCTAGACACTCAAATAAAAAAATTATGTAAGAAAGACCATTAGCACGACAAGAAGGTTTCAAAGCCCATGAGGTAGGAGTTAGGAGGAGGAAGAATGCACACACATTGTTTTAGGGGAAGGATTGGCACAGGTAGTTTTATGGGTGAGGAGGAATTTAAATCACGTGTATGCTTAGCCAGCTAATCAACTATGAATGCATTAGAGGTAGTGGCACAGAGATGAACAATGTAAACCATGTTTGAAATAGCTTGATGGCAAGTGGAATACAGGTGGAATCATGCGGCATAAACTTGAAGGGAATCTTTGGGACCAAATTATGGGAAATATTAATTCTAAGGTAAAAAAAAGGCAAAATAATGGAGGAACAAAGGGAAGCAAAAAGAAACAGGAGAATAACTGGCCTATTAAACAGAAATTTTTGTTCTCTAGTAGGAAGTTAAATAAGACAAACTGAAGTCAACTGGTGACCAAGCACATGGAGAAGGCAGCATGGGTGCAGGAGACGCTGAAGAACACGATAATAGAACTTTACAGCCGGCTGATCTGAGCTTGAGAAAAGGAGGTGCCTTTGGGTTTGGGACATGGAAAGATAGTGATGTCTTTAGAGAAACAGAAGTTGGGTGGGCTGTGAGGGTGAGGAGGATTCTGGGTGTTGAGTATGTTCCTAGGGACACTGATGGGCTGTTTGGAGAATTCCTACGAGGAAGGGCTGTTGATATTCATGTTCTCTTTGCTATGGCAAGAAGCAGGAGAGAAAACTTAAAGTTGGGGGTGATTATTGCGTATGGTTGAGACGGAGGAATAAGTAGCTGAACTCATCACAACTTTGAAGCAATATTTATAAACTCTGAAGTAGAGTGAGCTGAGCTCAGATTCATGTTGCTGCATTTATTTTAATTATTACTAAATATAGGCAATTTGCCAAATGCTTTCTGTGCATGGTCTTATTTAATCTTTATTACGTAATGGCTATTATTGTACCCACTTCACAATAAAGAAACTGAGACCTAAAGAATTTAAGCAGTTGGCCCCAAAACAGAGTCAGTATTGAGAAAAGCAGTTTTCAAACTCAATTTCTTGACTCTAAGTTTCTTATTCTTTCTATACCACTTCAATAGTCTCAACCAACCTTATGTATAACTGACTAAAGAACAAAGCTTTGCTTCAAGTACATGTCGTGGGCACCTGCGTGATGAAACCTACACACTTTACTCTTTGTTGAATTTACTTCCTGTGTATTTACCGAGAAAACAGACTATCTTCTTTTAAAAAGATGCACAGACTCTGCTTTGAAAGCCTGGTTTGATGAAATAAAAGATATTTAGAGTAAGACTCTTACTCACTTACTACGTATGTAACTTGGAAAAAGTTAACATCTCTGGAGGTAGTCTTTTTCTTCAGTGGAGATAATAATACGTATTTTATAGTATTTTGAAAAGAAATGGAGGAATATACCAATCATTTTCTCACCTGCGTTAATCCATTTGCTGTTACTATAACAGAATACCAGAGACTGGGTAGTTTATAAAGGAAAGAGGTTCATTTAGTTTAGAATTCTGGAGGCTAGGAAGTCCTAGATTTGGTGGCTGCCTCTGGTCGGCTTCTGGTGAGGGCCTAGTGCTGCTGGATAGCCTGGCAGAAGCACAGACATATGAGTGCAAGCTAAAAGAGACAAGCACAAGGGGTCAAGCTTGCTATGTAACAACCCACTTTAATGAGAACTAGCCAAGTTCCCTGAGAACTAACCCAGTCTCTAAAGAATAGCATTAATCCATTCATGGGGGAAGAGTCTCCATGACCCAAACACTTCCCACTTAGTCCTATGTCCCAGTGCTACCACATTGAGGAATTGAGGTTCTGATACCTGAACTTCGGGGGGACACGCTCAAACCGTAGCACCACTTGAGCATGCTATGCTTTCTCTTTCCCCCGCTGTAAAGTTCTTTCCCAAGAAAAACACATGACTAGTTCCTTCAGTTCTCTGCTCTACTGTCCCCTCTTCAGAGAGGTCTCCAGCATCGATTGTAATTATTCATAGAAGAAGAAGAACACCTGGATGTTAGCTGACAACATGCCTACATAGGAATAAGACTGTTTTCCAGCTTTCCCTACAGCTACATGTGGCCGAAGAGTTATAGTAAGAAGAGATGTCCACAATGTCAGGGATATGAATTTGCAAGGAGGGACATCCCTGATTCTTCCCTTTCTTTCTTCCTTTTACTTTATACAGAGCTGATGGCTAGAGATGGCTAGAGATGAAGCAGCCATCTTGAGCCACGAGGAAATCTTAGCAATGGAGACCTGTGAAGCGGAGCAATAACACAGAATGAGCCAAATGAATGCTTTTTCTACTCTGGCTGCCTGACTTCAGACTTTAAACATTAACATCCTTACTATTTGGGGCTTTCTGTCACTGTACATGAATCTGAACAGACTAATATTCCCTGTGACATATTAAATATAGCATTAATTTATGTACTTAGAGGTTATTGTCTATCTCTGCCCAGTAGCATGTAAACTTTCTGAGGGTAAAACCTTTTCTTCTGTTTACTTCTGTATCCTTACCATTTGAAATAGTGCCAGGTACATAAATGTGCTCAACGTATTTGTTGAACAAATGAATGAATGTATTAATAATGAATGTAAAATTCCTAGTACATGGCAGCTTTTTGCTTAACGGGAATTCCTTTCAGAATGCTGCAACTAGACTGTAAAAGACGAATCAGATGAGGCCACTCAAGCATTCAGCTTCTGCCTAGCTTAATGAACAACAACCACTAACAAGAACAATAACTGACCCCTTTGATGGAGACTTTTACTCTGATGCCATTTATCTTTAGACAGGGTGAAGCCTGCTTTCTCTCAAAACAGTCTGCATTATTCATGACTAGTTTGCTGCTTTTCGAAACTGGACTCTGTCTGCCTTTGGCATCTCCACTAACAGAAACTATCAGGTGTACGATTCAGTCCTAATTGCTGCCATGGCCTTGGCAATATTGTGCTGTCACCTTCTCTGCTGGACAGCCAGACTTAGTGCTGGTGTACACCGGCTTGCCAAGAATTAATGTGCATTGCAGACAGCAAAAATATGCCATTCCAGAATCCAACTGTACACTATGGGATTATGATTTCCTATTGTAAATATAGCCTAGGCACAAGAAAACATAGCCTAACCAAGGAAATGGATTTCTTTATTCCAGGTTTAAAATGTATCAGGATTGGGATTTGGGAGAAGCTTTTCTTACTCTGAGTTCAAACTATGAGCATAAAATGCGTGTGTGAGTGTGTATTTTTAAATGCACCAGCCCACAACATTTGTTTCATAGTTATCTTACAAATTTTATTTTTTCATTCCATTTTTATAAAAGAACAAAAAAAATTCCTAAAGCATCAGTTACATTTTGGCAAAAAAAAAAAAAAAAAAAAAAGCTGCAAAGTCCAAAAAAACTCAGTGGCTTAAAAAATCATTTGCCCTCAAGAGCCTGCAGGTTTTATGGAGATGGGCTGGCCTGGGCTGGATTTGTGCACCTGTCCCTTGTCATCCTGGGATTGGTGTCTGGAATGTTGAGGCACCAGAATGGACAGGCCAAACTGCACAAGGATGAACCAAGCCTCTGGTCACATCACCACTACTAATGTCCTTTTAGCCAAATCAAGTCACGTGGCTAGCCCAAAGTAAAAGGGTAGGAAGGTAGTCCCACCCATAGTGGAAGAACACCACGTATAGCTACATGGCAAAGGACACAGATGTAGGAATGAGAAGAATTGGGGCAATATTTACAATCTGCTACAACCTCCAAACATTTTCACCAATTTTTAAAATTATTATTATCTATTTCTTGGTCTATTTTGTTCTACTTTTCCTTTTAGGAGAGTTTCCTAGATTTAAAATTTTTATGTGTTTTGAAAATCTTTTTTGTTTTTGGATTACTACTCTAAATATTTTATATAATATCCTGTCAGTATTTCAAGGATAAAATGTCTTTTATTAATTTTTAAAAAATTTTAGTTTTAGGGGTATAGGTGTGGATTTCTTATATAGGTAAATTTCATGTCATGGGGGTTTGGTGTACACGTTATTTCATCACCCAGGCAATGCAAATAGCATCCTATAGGTAGTTTCTCAATCCTCACTCTCCTCCCATCCTCCACCCTCAAGTAGGCTCCAGTGTCTATTGTTCCTTTCTTTGTTTTCATGCATACTCGTTGTTTAACTCCCACATATAAGTGTGAACATGTGGTATGTGGTTTTCTGTTTCTGCATTAGTTCAGTTAGGTTAATGGGCCCCAGCTCCATCCATGTTGCTGCAGAAGACACGATCTTGTTCTTTTTTACGACTGCACAGTATTCCATGGTATATATGTACCACATTTTCTTTATTTAGCTGATGGTCATTTAGGTTGATTCCATGTCTTTGCTACCATGAATACCTTCTGCAAAAAACATATACATGCATGTGTCTTTATGGTGAAATGATTTGTATTCCTTTGGGTATATACCCAATAATGGGATTACTAGGTTGAATGGTAGCTCTGTTTTAAGTTTTTGAGAAGTCACCAAACTGCTTTCCACAGTGGCTGAACTAATTTACATTCCCACCAACAGTGGATAGGCATTCCCATTTCTCCACAGCCTTGCCAGCATCTGTTTTTTTTTTTTCTTTTTAATAATAGCCATCCTGACTCGTGTGAAATAGTATTTCACTGTGGGTTTGATTTGCACTTCTCTGTTGATTAGTGATGATGAGTATTTTTTTCATATGTTTGTTGGCTGCTTATAGATCTTCTTTTGAGAAGTGTCTCTTCTTGTCTTTTGCCCATTTTTTTAATGGGGTTATTTGTTTTTTGCTTGTTAAGTTCCTTATAGATTCTGTATATTAGACCTTTGTTGGGTGCATAGTTTGGAAATATTTTCTCTCATTCTGTGGGTTGTCTTTTTATTTTTAACTCTGTTGATAGTTTCTTTTGCTTTGCAAAAGCCCTTCAGTTTACTTAGGTCTCACTTGTCAGTTTTTATTTTTGTTGGAATTGCTTTTGAGGACTTAGTCATAAATTCTTTGTCAAGGCTGATGTCCAGAATGATATTTCCTAGATTTTCTTCTATGATTTTTTTAGTTTGTAGTGTTATATTTAAGTCTTTAATCCATTTTAATTTTTATACATGGTGAAAGATGGGGGTCCAGTTTCATTCTTTTGCATGTGGCTAGCCTCTTATCCCAGCACTATTTATTAAATAGGTAGTCCTTTCCCCATTGTTTATTTTTGTCAGCTTTGCTAAAGATTAGATAGTTGTAGGTGTACAATTTTATTTCTGGATTCTGTATTCTTTTCCATTGGTCTATGTGTCTGTTTTTGTACCAGTACCATGATGTTTTGGTTATTGTAGCCTTATAGCATAGTTTGAATTCAGATAATGTAATGGCTCCAGCTTTGTTCTTTTTTATTAAGATTGCTTTAACTATTGGAGCTTTTTCTTTCTTTTTGTTTTTTTGGTTCCATATGAGTTTTAGAATAGTTTTTTTTTAATTCTATGAATAATGATATTGGAATTTTGATAGGAATTACATTGAATCTGTAGATTGCTTTTAGAAATGTGGTCATTTTTATGGTGTTGATTCTTCTAATCCATAAGCATGGGATGTATTTCCATTTATTTGTGCCATATATGATTTCTTTCATTAGCATTTGTAATTTTCTTTGTAGAGATCCTTCACTTCCCTGGCTAAGTATATTCCTAGGTATTTTGTGTTTTTGCAGCTTTGTGAAGGGAATTGAGTTCTTGATTTGATTCTCAGCTTGGTTGTTGTTAGTGTATAGCAGTGCTACTGATTTGTGCACATTGATTTTGTAAACTGAGACTTTACTGAATTCATTTATCAAGTCCAGGAGTCTTCTGGAGGAGTCTTTAGTGTTTTCTAGTTACACATTCATATCATTGGCAAACAGAGATAGATTTACTTCCTCTTTTCTGATTTGAATGCTCTTTACTTTTTTCTCTTGCCTGATTGCTTTGGCTAGGACTTCTGGCTGCCTAAGTCTCTGTAGGTCTAGAAGTACTTGTTTTATGAGTCTGGGTGCTCTTTGGCCATTTTTATATTGGTTTATTTGTCTTTATTATTGAGTTGAGATCTATATCTATATCTATCTTCTGGATGCCAATTTCTTATCAGTTGAATTTTTCCCATTTTATGGGCTGTCTTTTCACACTTTGGGTATTGCCCTTGAAAGCACAAACATGTTTAATTTTGATGATACTTAATTAATCTTTTTTTCTTTTGTTGTTTGTGGTTTTCGTGTCATATCCAAGGATTCATTGCCAAATCCGAGGTCATGAAGATTTACCCCCAGATTTTTTTCTAAATGTTTTATAGTTTTAGCACTTACATTTAAGTCTTCGATTCATCTTTAGTAATTCTTTTTTGTATTAACTGTGTGTGAGGTAGGGTCCCAACTTCATTTATTTGCATGTGGTACTCACAATAGGATATACCTGTAGATCAGTGAAATAGAATTAAGAGTCCAGGAGTAAACCCTGGGCTTTATGGTCAACTGATTTTTGCAAGGGTGCTAAGAACATTTGATGTTGAAAAGACTATTCAGACATTTGGTGTATGTGCTTGGCTGAGGAGCCAATGGGGTGGATAGGATTTTCAAATCGTGTTTTCAATAAGTAGTGCTAGGAGAACTGGACAGTCACATGCAAAAGTATGAAGCTGGGCCCCTACCTCTCACACAGTTAATACAAAAAAATTACTGAAGGTGAATGAATGACTTAAATGTAAATGCTAAAACTGTAAAACTCTTAGAAGAAAACATAGGGATAAATCTTCATGACCTTGAAACTGTCAGTGGATTCTCAGATATGACACCAAAAACACAACAAACAACAAAAGACAAAAAGTAAATTAATTGTCATCAACATTAAACATGTTTATGCTTTAAATGACACTATCAAAAGTGTGAAAAGATAACAGAATAGGAAAAATTTACCTGATAAGAAATTGGCATCCAGAAGATAGATAGCTGTAGATATATATCTCAACTCAATAATAAAAAGATAAATAAACAAATATGGAATGACCAAAGGCACTCAAATTCATAAAACAAGTACTTCTAGAACTATGAAAAGACTTAGGCAGCCACATAATAATACTGGGGGACTTCAACACCCCACTGACAGCATTAGACAGATAATTGAGGCAGAAAGCTAACAAAGAAATTCTAGACTTAACTTTGACACTTGACAAATTGGACCTAATAGGCATCCACAGACTACTTTACCCATCAACCACAGAATGTACATTATTCTCATCTGCTCATGAAACATACTCTCAAATCAACCACATGCTCAGCCATAAAGCCAGTCTCAATAAATTCAAAAAATTGAAATCTTGAACCACAATGGAATATAAAAAATAAAAATTAGGCTGGGTGCGGTAGCTCACCCCTGTAATCCCAGCATTTTCGGAGGCCAAGGTGGATGGATCTCTTGAGGCAAGGAGTTTGAGACCAGCCTGGCCAACGTGGTGAAACTCTTTCTCTACTAAAAAAAAAAAAAAAAATACAAAAATTAGCTAGGTGTGGTGGCACGCACCTATAATCCCAGCTACTTGGGAGGTTGAGGCAGGAGAATCACCTTAACCTGGGAGACAGAAATTGCAGTGAGCCAAGATTGCACTGCTGCACTCCACTCTGGGTGACAGAGTGAGTGAGACACTTCTCTTTCATAGATAGGTAGATAGATACATAGATAGATAGATACATAGATAGATAGATAGATAGATAGATAGATAGATAGATAGATAGATAGATGACAGAGAGATGTAAATAAAATAAAAATCAATACCAAGATTTCTCAAAACCACACAATTACATGGAAATTAAACAACTTGCTCCTGAATGACTTCTGGGTAAACAAAAAAATTAATGACTTTTGAATGATAAACAAACTGCATTTCTAGAATAAATCTCACTTGATCATGATGTATAATTTTTTTCAATATTATTGGATTTAATTTTCTAGTATTGTGTTGAGGATTTTTGTGTTCATATTCTTAAGAGACATTGGTCTGTAATGTTCCTTTCTTTTGAGATTGCGTGTGTGTGATGTCTTTGGTTTTGGTATTGTGGTAACACTGGCCTCAAAGAGTGAGGTGGAAAGTGTTCCTCCACTTCTATTTTTTAAACACGTTTGTGAAAAATTGGTATTATTTCTTAAAACATTTGGTTTACCAGTAAAACCATCAAGGATGGCTTGTTTTTGTAAGGTCAGCAGTAATGCTTTCTCTTTCATTTCTGATACTAGTAATTTGAATCATCTCTCTTTTTTTCTTGGTCAATTATGCTAAATATTTATCACATTTGTTGATTTTTTTTCATAGCCATATTCCATATGGCATTCCAAACTTCCACAATCAACTTTAGTTTCATTTTTCTCTATTGTTTTTATATTCTTGATTTTATCAATGTCCACTCCAACTTTATTATTTCCTGTCTTCTTGCTTTAGGTTTAGTTTGCTTTTCTTTTTCCAGTTTCTTAAGGTATACAGTTGAGTATTATTTTGTAATTTTTCTTACATGTTAATGGAAGTATTATTACTATAAATGTTTCTCCAAGCACTGCTTTAGCTACGTCTCATAAGCTTTGGAATGTTGTCCCTTCATTTTCATTCATCTCAAAGTATTTTATAAAGTAACTTGGGATTGCTTCTGCCTCGTTGTTTTACCCACACGCAGCTGGTAAGATTCACTCATTGCTGTATTGTTTTCAACAATATCATGGGCATAAATTGTTCTACATATAAATCTCATAAAATTTAGGCTGTGTTAAAGGACTCCTTCCTGAGATCAGTGTTTGAGATTTGTTTTAATCACAAATTTGCCACTGGGAGGGCTCCTTCCAGTGGTCTCCCTGGTTCTCTCTGGTAAATTAGACAGCCTGTAGTTTAGCCTGTATCTCCGATGAATCTATCAATCTCCCAATTGCCTTTCACCACAGGTTCCAGTTATTAAGAACACCCTTATGGTTGAACTTCTCCACATTTTGTTGCCAAAAAAAAAAAAAAAAAACCTAAAAACTAAAACAACAAAACAGTCCCTTTGGGGATAGATTAGCAGTTATCTGTTTATGGCTTGCTTCTTTAGAGGCAAGGAAACATATATGAGCCACATTTCTGGAGCTAGAAATGGGAGCAACATCATGTTTCTTTCTGAATGACCCTCCCACTTTAGGAGCTGAACACTCATGGGAGAGGGAGGACAGTGACCTCAGATTCTCTCAGCTTGCTTCTCCCATGTGGAAACCCCACACCATGATATGAGGCAAGAACAAGGGGGACCCCAATATTCTCGGCAATGCTGTTCTTAATTTAAAGCCTCTGTCTAATGAGCCTTTGTCTAATGAGGTAGAGCTGGGTAAAAAAAGGGCACCATCACCTCTCATCTGTACTCACTGGCAGCTTAACCTCATGAACATGTAGCTGGGGCCAGAATGAGAGGGGAAGACAGCTCACTTACAGAGAGCTAAGGTGGGAGAGAGCCCTGTGTTCTTGGATGCAGCAGGCTGGAGTGGAGTTTCCATTTCCCTGAGCTGGGAGGTAGCAGAAGAGTAGATCTTGTTTTAAATGCCACAGACTATTACTGTTCTTACTCAGTTTTAGTAGACTTTCTTGAATAACTATATTTTTTATCTTGCTGTATACAGAAAAATAGCATTTTGGAGACTTTACTGTTTTTTAAAAAATAGTTTTCAGCAGTCTTACTGGGAAATGAGTCTGCAGAACTCCTCATACTGTCCTGATGGAAGCCTTGGCTAAATGCTTTCAAAGACATCTATTTATATCTATTTCATGCTGGTATTGTACCTGCACCTAAAGTGACTGTGCCCGTAAAATAGGGAGTCTAGTTCTATTGTTTTTGAGTCCAATTTTAACATCCATATTGACTTTTTACAGCCCCTGCTTTCTTCTCATTATTGTAAATATTTATAGTATTAATTTTATTGTGTACAGAGGCATATTTGAATGATTAAAAGGCAAGCACCAGCCTTTTGAGAAGACTTTATCAATCACTCTAGCACAACTGTTCACAAAGCAAGGAGTCAGCCGCCTCCCATATAGGCATCCCCCAACCATAACGTGGAGAAGCAGATCCCAGTTAGTACTTTCTATGTTATAGCTCCTCTAGTTTGTAATTAGTGTTTGAAAGGATCCAGAGTAACATGGAAAAGATTCACTGTCTTGATTCACTTTCATAACTCAGCTGTCACTTGGGTCTTTCCTGCCCATGGGAGATTTAGGAAAATGTGCCTGATTTCATGCCAGGGAGTCCAGGACCCTTGTCTCAAGGGTTCTATGAACTCCTGGTGAGTCAGAGGCCTGTGTGCCCTGCCCTGTTTTTGAGCCTGTGCAGTCCTGCCTGGGCATGTGCTCCAGTGCCTGGGGAGCCAGCCACATTATCACCCCCGCCACCATACACCCAAATGTATCAATAATTCCATGAATTTAGTAATTTTCCAACATTTTTGAATGTGGGCCTGAAGAGAGAAGTAATTGTGAATCCCTGGGCTGTCCGTCCACCTGGCCCCTCCCTGCATCCTCAGCTGTTTCCCCTCTTGTGCCCCTGGCTGCCAGGGTGCTGTCATTACTCAGGCATCCAGTTGGAAAGTTCCAGGCACATTTCGGCCCAGAGTCACTTACCCAGAGCCTGGCTTATCAAAGCCTTTTCTTAACAATGGGAGGGAGGTTGAATCTTAAAGCAATTCTTCTCTGTTAAGGCAATTATGCATTTTTTCTTATTATTACATTATTTATTTAAGGGCTGTATTACATGGGATCTGACTGGAGACGATAGAGGTTATTTGCAAAGCCTTTGAAAATGAACTCAGAAGAAGTTTAATCCACTCTCCCAAGGGAACCATGTCCCTACAAAAACTTAAAACTGCAGCAAAACAGAATAGAGAGGGTTTGCTTGTGTGCCTGCAGCAGAGCACCCCCTTCCTTATGTAAACACTTACAAAGCTGCCATCTTTGCACAGATGGTGGCTGAGTGGGGTGCTGGCTTTGAAGGCTCCCTGTTTTAATACTGGTGTTTTCCTCCTCAGGTCTCACGCACGAAGTACTGTAAGCTTCTCTATGGGCAGCACTCATCAAGCCAGAAAGTAGCTTGCCATGGCTTCTTCTATGGGGTGTTTTCTTTATTATGTTCATAAAGCAAAAAAAAAAAAAAAAAAAAAAAAACAGAGAGAGAAAGAAAAGAAAATCAGAAGACAATGACTACTTTAGCTCTCTTGGCCTCTCAAGGTGACTGGTGTGAGAATAGCTTGGTGGCTAAGGACAGAAAAAAAAATCTTTTGTTTATCTAGACTCTAGGGTATTTCTGAAATGAAGGGAAATGTTCAGAGACCATTAAAAATGCAAGAGGCCACATAAGGGGCTGAGTCATATAGCTGTCACCTCACCACCTTGGAAACAAAACGCTCTATCATGTTTGTTTAGCTGGTGACAATGATATAATGCTGGAGATGAGGCTATGTATTTTTTTTTATCCCACTGACTTGGCTATTGTTCCTTACTTTAAAATGATCCCCTTTGGTTACTCTAAAGAACAAAGGAAAAAAACAATAGATATGCATTTTGCTGTTTAGTTAAGAAGGAAATATTGTTTTCATTACACCAAAGTCTGACAAGGAATTTAATTCACTCATTACTCCATTAAATATGAACTGGGCATCTGCAGGGGTGTTAGAGTCAGTGGCAGAAGGGTTTATGTGTCCTGTATTCTTGGAGCTCTACTGTAACAACTGATGGCATTGAAGGATGCACCATACACCTGCATGTACACAGGAAGGGCTTTCACAGCCAGAATAGGGCCTTGCACAAGTGAGCACTGAATTAGTACTGAATGGATGGAGGAAAGGAGATCTGGTTGTGGGTAGCATGAAGGATACTCTTAGATGCGAAGTCAGAGAGGAAGGCACTCGTTACATCATGGAGAGCCTCATGGACAAGCTGAAGAGTTTGATATTGAGTCAGAGTCTTTCAGACATGAAGCTGACATGGCCTCCGGAGTTCTGAGACAGTTCTGTTGGCCTTTCCTGGAGGTGACGTTGACCCAACCACTTTAATTTGGATCTATGAATGGTGGAGTCATTTAAGAAAGTGACACATCCAGCCACAGAGAGCAGTGTTTATGGAGTGATGTGTATTAACATGAATCAAGCTTCTTTTTTATTGTGAAGCTGTCATGTCCCTATACGATCTCGTCTTTAAACTCAGAAGTGTATTGAGGCTGTTTTCAAAGAGGTTTTCTTCTCCAGGAGGAATGTGAGTGCCAGCTGCCAAACACTGTTTTGTTGTTGTTGTTATTTGTCAAAGGCTCTCTTTATGTTAATACCTTGGGTCTGTAATCCTCACAGCCATTCTGATTTGCATATGCAATGATTGGAAAATGATCCAAATCAAACTTAACTGAAGTTGAAATAATAAAGGTGCTTGCAGTGAAGGGACATGGTTGTGAGGTAAGCCCCATGGTCTCAGCTCTGCTAGTTAATAAGCTGAGTGACAAAGAAAAAATCTCCTGATCTCTTTGGGCCTCAAATTTTTGCATTTTATAGAGAGGAATTGGTATCCATTCTAGTCCATGTACAGGTGTGATAAGAGTAAAATGAAATTATTGATGTGAAAGTATTAATATAAAGGATATAAGAGCATTAACGATTAGATGAGATCCTGCTTCAGGCTGGAGTTTTGAGGTTAATTACTCAGCTGGAACTGTAACTCCCTCCATTCCCTTGGAGTTGTGTGACCCAAACAAGTTATGTAGCTTCTCTGAGATCCACCTCGCTTCTGTAAATCAGAGGCAGAGATAGCAGCATCAGTATTTTGTGGGGATTAATTGGGATAATGTGTTTGGTGCCTCACTCACAGAGGATACAGGACAGAGCTCATGTCCTCAGTCTTCTCTTTTGGTTTCCTTTTCTTTCCAGTGGGTAATCATGAGGACTGAGATTACAATGAGGAAGTTTCTATTAATAATACAGAGATGCCAGCTACACATCAAGTGCTCACATAAATGTTTGCATCCCGCTGTTTGCTCAGCCACCCTTCCTCAGTGCCATCCTCTCCTCCTCTTCATGCATCCAAAGGAAACCTATTACAATTCAGTAGCTGAGGACAGATCACTGGAATTTGGTACTTTGTTGAGGCACCAACCCATGAGGAGTGGGGTGTGGTGTGGTAAGGCAGGAAGATGAGAATTAGGGACCAATGTAGTCTGAGGCAGCGGGGACCCCATATTCCACAGTCAGTGCTGTAACACTTGTGCTGGATGAGAGCTTAACGTGAGACCACGGGAGGCCTGGTCCCCCTCCGCTCTCTGCTCTTGCCCTGTGGTGGATGAGGGAGAAGTCATCTTTAAAGGTATTTCCTACTCAGATATGTGTAGGGAATAGCACATGTATGGGGTTGTGGATGTGAGTGTGAATAGACTCCTCGTGGGGCAGATGATGGAAATCAGTGGGCATATATCTATAAACACATAATACAAATATTACATATTTTACAAATCCTGTTATTTTCTAAAGTCTAAGATTAGTTTCTATACCAAGAAGAATTTTATGCGTTTAATTTTTAGAGGCAATGTGACAAAAAGTTCCTAAATAAATGATTTTTAAAATCAGAAACTGAAATACAGTCGTAGAGTATGAGACATTAGTATGTTCCTTTAATTCTCTTAGAAGCCATGTATATTTTTTCTTTCTAATGATAAAGTTTTATGTGCTCATTATTTTAGAATTCAAAATAGTATAAAGAATAAAACCTAATGGTTATGCGATTATTTCTTGTCCGGATAACATTCCAGAATTTATTTCAGTCTGACTGTAAATATGTGCAAACATACTTACATCATTAATGTAATACTGAGTCTATGATTTTCTATTTTGCACTTAATATTATATAATAGCCATTTTCTCTTCATTAAATATTATTTGTAGAGATTTTTAATAGTTGAGGCTGAAATCAATGTATTTGTTATAAATTATGACTTTTAATTTGGGGGGAAGGACTTTTATAAGGGGAGCCTTAAGCTCAGGAATGCAAAGCTTCATAGGCACTTGGTATAACTTGACAAGTGATTTTTCAGAAATGTCTCTGCAGGTGCATTGCCACCTCTTTTGTTCTGCTCTTGAAGTGTCTGACTTTCAAAATATATGTGTGTATGTTTTTTCTTCCTCTCATGTATTATTCCTGCTTCTGTTTTAGCATTAATTAATATATTACATTTAATGTTTGTGGTTCCAAAATGTTGTACCTCAAAAAATTGTAGAATATTTCTTGTAAGCACCTTTACCTACAGATAATGCCATTTATTTATCTCTATTTAATCACCGATTATACAAATAATGTGGACATAACGTATTATCTAGAAATGTTAGATCAATGAGTGAACATAGAAATAAATGACTCCTTGGCTATTTTGCAACATTTTATTCTGTGGAAGTATGAAAATCAAATAAATCCTTCAGGGAATTTAGATTATTGACATAACTGTGTATGTTATAGATAGAAATGAAAAAGTCAAGCTAATATTAATTAGATATTTACATCATAATGAATTTAATAATCTTCGAAGAGTGTCTAAATTGTTGAAGGTGCCATGCTTTTATAATTTTACGTTTAGAAGTCTTCTTAACTATTAACTGTTCTAGAGAGATCCTGAGTAACCTATTTCAACCTATCTCCTATCTGTTTCAGGCATATTTTCTCTAGAGTGTTTCTATTTTGGAAGACTGGTAGAATTTACTTTTTGTTTAATTTCTGTGTAATTTTTCTTTTTTCGTAATTCATGTTCTTCACAGTAAAGTTGGAATTCTTTTAGTTCAAACGAAATTTTAATTTGAAAGAATTTTAATTATTAATGTGCATATGTGCTTATAGAGAATTTATTAGATAATTACTGGAATTTAGCATGAATTTTTCAAAAGTCATTAGCAAAATATACTTAAAGGGCTGCAGTTTCTACTAATGGTAAAAATGGATCCTAATATGCATAAGAACATACAGCCATCTCTGTGCCACTGTCTCCTCATACCATTGTATTTTTATATAATGCTTCCTATTCATGTTTGAATTGTTTTATCTGCTTTTATCTAAGTTCTCCAAATAAATAGTGGCCTTCTTCACTCCAAGAAGAACATTCTTCTGTTCTGGTCATATTCTGAATAGATCCTAAATTTCACTGCTTATTTATCTACTTAGTTACACAGTGCCAGACATTGTTCCAAGTAATTTGCAAGGATTAATTCAGTCAGTCCTCTCACAACCTTATTAGGCAGATACTATAATTAATCTATTTGCTAGATGAGGCAACTGAGGTTAGAAAATTTACCAGACTTTCCAGGGTCAAACAACTGGTACGTGGAGGAGCTGGATTCAGTAGTGCAAACACTACATTTTGTCATGCCATCAGAATCATTAATAAACATGAGACCAGAAACACATCTCCATGCAACACATCCCCTCTGCCCTGGAACATAATGTTATGCCCAGACACAGCTGAGAGCTCTCCCAGGAGCATTTACAAAGCTCCAGTGACATGGTGCTTCACCTTGGGAAGCCCCTTCAACCACCTAGGCCTCAATCCCTTCTTTTCATGAAACGTGGACATATAGACCCACTTTGGGGGATTTGGTGAAGACACAATGGGTTGATCGTGTTATTCAGCAGCATAGCTTGTAACATACTGCTGAGAAGGGGGATGGCCACAGAATATATACCTCTTGTACCAACCCAATGTGTTGGCCTTTAACAATTCTGAGAGATAGCCAAATAGAAATGTTAGAGAGGTGCATGTCCGTATGCTTTTATGTATATTTTGTCAGTGTCCTCACCAACCTCTCAGCCATGTGAAGATTAGAAACCATTAACTCGAATGATGGGAGGCTACTGTGGCCATGCACAGACCTCAGAGGGAAGTGACATCTGACAGCCTGAAATTAAGACAAGAGGACAGAAAAACAGAACACCAGGGCAAAGAGCTCCATGGGTGCTCACAAGGGTGATCTATGTCACTGAAACAAGGTCACATTGTCTTGGGTCCCCTGTCTTTACCAGACAGACTTGAAAAATAATTTGACCATAAATCTGTTAGGGATCAGCCTCATTTAGGGGAAATTTACTTAAGTGTAACACATTTTCCCCCAGCAATGCTTTGTAAATGAGATGAGTATGATTGCTAAGACTGGGCATGCCATTTCATTCATTAAACTAATATTTACCAGTGCTAGGTACTAGGTACTCATACTGTGCTTGGTACTTAGAAAAGATGCTTCAGTGAACAAAATGGACAGAGATTTTAGTCATCAGAGTATATTCATGTATTTCTGATTTTTTTTGGGATGCTATGATGTGCCCAACACCACCTGAGATAAGGGAGTAGAATAATTCATATAGTTTTTGGAGGACCCCTACATTCCTGGAGATTGCTATTTGAGGTTACCTTAGGGTATGAGTATGAGCTCATGTCTTGCTGATGGGACACCAGTGGAACTACTGTCTATAACTCTACAATGTGAGGAACAGAGCCCCTTAGGCAGGAGACTTCCTTTGCAGTCATAGGGCCTGTCCACCTAGGCTGGGTTGAAGTACAATTGGGATAACTTTTTTATATAACAAACAAACAAGTGCCTGGTAATTACATATGCAATCCCTTTCATCTTTTCCCAGCCAAATTTTAATCAGTACAGACCTTGAAGCAATAAGGCCAGCAATCATGCTTCCCAGGGCCAGTTTCCAGCCCAGCTTCCCACTTCCACTAGCTCAGGACTTTGCTTTCACCGTTTGCATTTTCACCTTCCCTCTTTTATTGACTGGGTGTTGATTCTGGGACTTGCTGATAATTTTTTTAAGGTAATTCAGTGTCTGTGTCAATATAAATGGAAAACAACTAACTGTATAATTGACTTACAATTAATTTCTGTGTCTTATATTGAGAATCCAAACTCCCAACAATTTGGAGTAATTACTTCCTTTTTCTCCCTCTGTGTGAAAATGGACTTAGAATTTACTCATCTTAGGTCAATATGATAATAATCATGTTTCTATTTTATTTAACTCTCAGGTTTGGTGATGGTTATACAGTCAAAGTTTGGCTCTGTAAGGAAGCAAATCAACATTGCACTGTTTCTGACCACTTGAAGCTTTATTTTCCAGGAATTCAGTTCAAGGTAGTGCTAATATCTTGTATTATTTCTTTGTTTTCAGCTAAAAAAAAATAATAAATGTACCTGTCTTTTTTTGTTTTTATTCTATGCTGTTATAAGATACTACTTGTTACCTTAGCCACATTGCAAAGTATAGGCCCTGCCTCCCTACCAAAAATAGCATGGATAGCTGATATTGCTTGACCACTCTGAAGAGTGACAAGCCTGCTTAATTGCTTCCTGGATTGGCCAGAGCAGCCTGTGATTACATATCACGCCTCTTATCTGTGGGCACAGGTCCATTGCATAACTCATCTTGTTCAGCATAGAAGATTGCAAAAGCTAATCTCTTCCATATATTTGCTGTAGGGTTTATAGGCTTGATGGTTTCAGCATTGCTTCACAGAAATAGCCCTATGCTTGAGATCACAATCCTCTATAAACTTGCTGTCATCAAGTATGGTCACTGAACCAGCAGCATCTTCATTGCCTGGGACCTGTTAGACATGCAGAATCACAGGCCCCAACCTATTGAATGGGAATCTGCATTTTAACAAGGTGACCCGGAGATTCCTATGAACACTGAAGTTTGAGAAGCACTGTCTAAAAATCTCTTGGATAACTGTGGGATGCTAGTTTATTATAACTTCTAGGAGGCTGTAGTCCATAAAGTAGTTATGTTCTATTTATTTCAACAACTGTCATTTAGTGAAATCCTACTATGCAAGAAGCATGCTGTGTGAGACTGTCATTCATGCTCAATTATGACTCTGAGTCACCCTATAAAACAGACATAATTATCTCCATTGGCATACATGAAGACAAGGATCAGAGGTTTAAATATCTTCCCAAGTGTTGCTCAGCTAATGATGAGAATAGTGAGAGATAAGCCCAAGTCCCAGTGTAAAACTCAGGGCCCTTCCATCCGTCTCTGTTAGGCCATGTTAAATTCCTACATTTCAAATATCTTTGGGCATCTTATGATTCCTTAAACAGGGCTTCCCCATGCTGTTGCAAGGTTAGAGCATATCAGGGGGCAGAACAGCAATGCCACTCAGTTGAACGTTGTTTGTCAAATATACCCCATGAAAAATTGTCATCAATAAGCATTCATTGGAGACTCACAAAATTAAGTGTAGGTTGAGAAAACGTAACTGAATTTTTTTGCCAATTAAATGTAGTATGATCAATTTTGTTTAATAATGCTAGTTATATGATACTTTTTTTTTTTTTTTTTTTGCTTTTAGGGACAGCACCTGAATTTATTAGAATATCATGTGCCAAAAAGATGGGGATGCCTAGCTGACTTGTTCAAAGTTATAGAGAACAATAAAACCTTCTTGAATATTAAGCATTATTCCATTAACCAAACCACTTTGGAGCAGGTATAGTATCTTGAATGATTCAGGAGGTTGAATTTTGGTCTGTTCATCAGACCTAATGTAGCCAATTTTAAAATTAATCGAATTGCTTCAATTCACCACTTTATTCAATTCATCTTGTTAAATTTTATAAAATTATGATAAGGATGGTGAGTGTCAGAAAGTTTGTTTACTGTATACCCTTCTACTTAAGATAGATATTCAGTAGAGTTTCAATTTGTTCATATTATTTTGGGCATTTAACTAATTAAATCATGTCACGTTAACCTTCCTATCTCCACCTTACTCAGCCCCACAAGACTTTTCGGGGGGGCTTCACTGTAATCAAATGATAGCTAACTTCTGGGGAAACAAAAAGCGTTTCATTTACTAAGAGTACCAGGAATATAAAAATACATCACGACATATTTCTAAAACCAGGCTTAAGGTATTGAGAACTTCTAGGTGATTTATTATTATAATTGTCTAGAAATATGAATGTTCTTAGAGTTGTGTCCTCAATGGATTTATATATTTATGTGATTTGGGAGGGAATGGTATGAATTAATGATCTGTGGTTTTTAGGGCAAGTTGGCCAGTGTTCTGAGACAATGTCTCCTTTCTAATAAGTGAGACCAAAGGGTTGTATTCTTATAAGTAAACAACATTTTTATGGTTTTTTTCAGGTATTTATTAATTTTGCTTCTGAGCAGCAGCAAACTCTACAATCTACTCTTGATCCATCCACTGACAGTCACCACACACATCACTTGCCCATCTGAGCACTAAAGAAGTTTCCATAAGGAATAAAACCTTGTCTTCCATTACAATTAACAGTCAAGGATAAAACAAGCACGCGCACAATCAAGGAGCTGGAACACACTCTCCAGGCCGTCAAATTATTCTCTTGTTCATTTTCTATTTTGAATCTCCTTGTTAGTTAATAACCACCAAATGGAAAGGTCATTCTTTCTGCAGACTTTTGGGGAGCTCCTCCAAAACATTTGTTCTCTTTACCATGCCAGATGGACACCAGCTTCTTTGTGACAAAGGCATGAATGATTTGACAGTGTCCAAACTGAGACATTCTGGAGCTGGAAAGCCTGTCACACTAGAGTGTGTGTGACATGTCCACTCTAAACATGTCACTTTTCTGTTAAGAAAACTGAGCCCCCTCCCCACAGGTTAAAAAACTTTAGTAACTTGTTTGTATAGAAAATAGTAACAAGGACTATTTTCTATTGTTGTCATCTATTTACTAGATACATGTTTTTAATGATTTTAATGTAAGCTTTTATTAATACTGATGACATTATATGGTATGATATGAAAAAATCACCAATTTTTTACATATAAAAGATACCTTTTTAAAAAAATAGGTTTTAAGAGCTCTTTTAGTATACACTTTAGCAAAATTAATTAAATTGAACTAGTTACTCTGTATCAATTACAGTAGTTCTACCAGAATCTCCCAGGTTATAATTTATGAGGGTAGAGAAATAAAATGTAGATGCATTTTCTTTTTCTTCATTTGGATGAATAATTACTGTTTTTTGTTATTCTAAGTCAGTGTTTTTCAAAGCGTAGTGGTCCCCATATTAGCTGCATTGCCATCTTCTGGGAGCTTGCAAGAAATGTACATTCTCAGGATCCACTCCAGACCTATTGAATCTCAAATTCTGGGGCTTAAACAAGCACATTCCAAGTTAAGAACCAATGACCTAAGGGAATGTCTGGTTACCTCCTAGTTATACAAGCAAAATCTGCATAGTATGTAGTCTTTTTTATTTATTTATTTTTTTTTTTTGAGGCGGAGTCTCGCTCTGTCACCCAGGCTGGAGTGCAGTGGCGCGATGTCGGCTCACTGCAAGCTCCGCCTCCTGGGTTCACGCCATTCTCCTGCCTCAGCCTCCCCAGCAGCTGGGACTACAGGCACACATCGCCACACCCGGCTAATTTTTAGTATTTTTAGTAGAGACGGGGTTTCACCGTGTTAGCCAGGATGGTCTCTATCTCCTGACCTTGTGATCCGCCCCCCTCCACCTCCCAAAGTGCTGGGATTACAGGCGTGAGCCACCGTGTCCGGCCGTAGTTTATTTTAAAATATATTTTTAAAAGCTTTGTAAAAATTATGTCATTCTCAGAATTGTTGTCTTCAAAGCATTGTCAGATGTAGAGTGCTCAGATGTGGCTCTTAAAGACTATATACATCTGAATTTTTCATCCTATAGTTAGTAAGATGCATAAAATCAATCCACTACTGAAATAGTTTCCAGTCAGACATTTCTGAGTTCAGACATTTCTCAACATTCTTTTAACAACATTTTTCTGAATCCTCAATAGAAAATCACATTAATCTTATTTTAAAATTTGGCCTTTTTCAACACTAACGTTGAGTACCGGTAGCTTGTGATCAAAGGCATATACTTCCTTATGAGATTTCTTTACTAAAGCAAGATTTCATTAAATCTCTATTTCCTAAATATCATTCTATACAAAAGATATTTTTTAAACGGTAAGGATTAAGACAATCACTGATAGCTTTGTTGTGAGCAATTTTGATTCCCATGTATCACATGAATTACACTTCCTTAAATAAATTACAGTTTATGGCTGTATGATTTATTCTCTAATTCTAACATAGTCTAGTTGTCAAAAGGAAATATGTAATCTTTTTATGATTGTTGAATCAATAAATACCAATTTGTGAAACATGAATGTGTTTAAACTGCAGTGAATAAATGAGATGTGCTTTAATTTAACCCGATTTTTGGAATGTAATTGTGCTTTTGCCAATATATTTTCTTGTATCTTTATTTGTGTCTTTAGGGATCCAATTTAATTTAAGTAAGCAGGAAATGAAGCTACTCCAAATCTTTTAAAGTTTGAAAGGTTAAAATTTAATTGAGTTTTGCTCTGCTGTATTCTGCTCTTAGGGGTTCTTTTCTGGTTTTTGAACTGCTGTATTCTTGAAGTTTATGCTTCAAGGTATGCCTTTGAACAATAAACAGAAAGAAAGAGAAACCCAACATGCTAAAACACCACATCCCAGAAGACTGGATACAAAAGGTCAAATCTTATGTTAATGTTGAAAATGTCATTGCATTTATAAGTCATGCAGGTATTTAACGCCTTTGGAGTTAAACATTTGTCTTAAGACCTTTGGGCTTAAGGTCACACAACTGAGACTTTTAAACAGACTACCTTCTTTTGAAATCATTCTGAGTAGAGTACTTTATGAAACAGAAATAATAGTGATTATCCCAGTTCTAGTAATCTAGCATTTACTATATAGATTATCTTTACTCAGATATTTAAACAGTTGATGTATGAAAACTTTCATGCAAAATCAAGATAGTAAAAAGCAAACAGAAAGTGTATTTTAGCATAGTAAAGACTAGGTGGCTTAAGGTCATAGGTAGTTTATTTAATAAGCATTGAATTGAAAAATAGCTCAACATGACATCTTACAAAACATCTTAGAAAATACACAGCCACATACATACCCCACAACCTCCCCCCATAGGCACACTATTAGTGTTAATGAGAATGACATGAATATTAGCATAATCACAAATGTTTCTGCCTAAGTAGGAGTTACAGACACTTTAAATTTTCAAACTGGGTTAACTATGTTTCTCCTTTGGCTTTTGCTTTGGCCTGCTGCATTATTTCAGCTCAGTGGATTTTTTTGATGACTTGTTACAACTCAATTTCACACACTTGAATAATTCAAAGCCCTTTCACACATACACACAGACATACATATGCACACATGCACATACAAGCATACATACTCACACATGCACATGTATGCACACTCAAACACACATTCATTCCTTCAACTAACACCTTTGATCTCATTCCATGCACATAAGTAGGTAGTGGGTACTATAAACATGGGGTGGTGGACTAATCAATAGCAGAGCCACAATCATTGTCCTTGAGGAGCACTTAAGCAGGTGGAGATGGCAAGATGAGATCTACAAGCAAGGAGTACTCCCTGACATGGGGTCGGAATGATTCACTCTCATGGAGGATGTGGGAACAAATCTCGTGAGATAGTTACCACCTGCTTGGGCCTTTGCAGATTGAGAATGGGGGAAATGACATCTGAGGCTATGAATATCAGAGCAAATGGAAAATATTTAATGAGCAATGGATGCTTGCTTATTATGTTGGAGAACGATAGCTAATATAGTGGTTTCTGTAGACATCAAGAACCCAGGTGTCTCATTTTTAGAATTTCTCTTACATTCCAGAATGGCCGCTAGATCTCTAGCTATCACAATATTCAAAGATGAAATAAAAGAAAAATTGGACTAAGGGGATAATAGCACATCTATTTGAAGAGCTTCCCTGGCAACCTCACCTGCATACTTAGGCTTATATTACATCACCTGGAAGTATTCACATGACGCTAACTAGCTACAAGAGTGTTTGGTCAATGCAGTCTTTATCCAGGCTTCTGACCACCCTAAAATAAAATGAAGGTTTTGATTCTATGTGAGAAGAACTAAACAGATACTGGATAGATAACCAGCAGTCACTACTAAAGAAACAGAGAAGTTTTGTGGCCATTTTGCTTGGGAAAAGAATGCATTCAATTTTGGACATGTTGAATGAACCAGGTAGTGTTAAATTATGTGGCTATTTTGGGCAATCTAGGTTCTAAGAGTGTTACTATTTTCAAGATTAAAGATGTATGCTAAGATCTGTGGAGCGGATATCATTTATATTTATAAACATTACTGTCAAATTGAATGTGGTAGATAAAGAGAAGAAAATTTTATGGATATTTCCCATTTGGGTTAAATAAATAGCATTGTCATTTTCTCACAGTGAGAATTCCTCTTGAGAACTTTAATAAATAAATGTCTCTTGCTGGAAAGGGTTGCAAATTACAGAAAGAAGTCAGAAGCATTTTTCTTAATTATTTGCTATTGCTTGCCATCACAAGAGACATTTCATTGTCTTTCACTGTAAGTGAATCTATCACATTTTTTCTCTTTTGTTAAAGTGTTTTAAAGAAACACTCTACATTAAAATGTTTTAAAGAAAAATTAGGTCCACTGAGTTAAAGGTACATCTTAAACCTAGCAAAACTCAATGGTTAAAAAGCACATCTAGAAATTTTATGAGCATATTCTTCTTTCCAATACAAGGCAACATTCTGAACCCCATATTGGCCTTCACATTTATGTTCCATGGGTGTGGCTTGGTATTGATGGATGACAACTGTTGTTGGTGGGGTTCTGTTTGTTCCTTGGTTTTGTTCATGAAACACTGAGGACTCTTTGCGGGGTTCAATGCAGGGTGAGGAGTCATTGCTTCCAATCTGTTTACACTTGCACTTAGTGTCACATTGCAGCTTTTTCTACCCGCACATAACCAAGTAAAAACTTTGTTTGCCTCAGCATAAGTTTAAGTGAATTAGGGTAGTACGCTAGGGCAAGGCAGCAAGTCCAAGGGGGAGTTCATAGGCTGGGCATCAGGAGACCTGGCTCTACTGCCAATCAGAGTGGGATCTCCAAGCCCTTTTGCTGTTGTGCCCTTCCATTTTCCTCACATTTACAATCATGACAAGATCTTTGAGAAGACTAATGAAATCAGCAAATTTCCACAGACGGTGCACAAATATACAATTTTAGAAAAGAAAAGGGAGCATATCTAAAGATAGAAATGAAGAGTAATAAGAGAATAATATGAAAAACTTTATGCAAAATATTCAAAAACAAATAATATTTTTAGTAAACAGTTAGGAATCAAGATTGTCTCAAGAAAACAATAGCCACTCCAGAAAATGAATCAACCATGAAATATCATCACAAGTATATCCCTACCAGTGTCCCATCCCAATACAGCAGACCCAGATGGTTTTACAAATGTGTCATTCTAAAAGAGATAAATTCTCTATTTTACACAAGCTACTTCAGAAAATGAACAAATTCTATCTCATTTTAGACACCAGTATAACATTGGCACACAAACTTGTCCAAGAATAAAAGAAAAGACAAATATGGAGAAATTAATGTATGAACATGGATTCAGACAGAACTAATGATAAATAGAATCAGTAGTATATTTCTCATAATACAATGTGATTTATCTAGAAAATGCGGTTGTGATGTAAACTCAGAAACTATTAATGTAATCCATTCCATTCAAAGGTAATAAATGCTCTCAAATGCAGAAAAAATATTTCATAAAATATGATAATCTATATTAGAAAGTTAAACTTACAAGTAAGTTTTCACAATCTGATATGATACAGCTAATAATATTTATGAAGTTTTAAAAGCTGAATTGTGCTACACTGTCAAAATATAGCGTGCCCTTCTCAGGAAACGTTATTTATTATTTCTCTTCTGTCTTGTATATTTTATCTCTCTTAGAGCTAGGTTCTTTCTAGCAACACTTAAGATGTTTCAGTCTCTCCCATTGTATAAAATACTGTATCAATGCCACATCAGTGTCCACTCAATAATCCATCCCTCCAGCGTCTGTTCCATCATCACCTCCGACTGCCTTCTCTGCCTGTTCTACTCTGGCTGCTGCTCCCTCTATGCCACCAAAACAGTCCCAGCTAAGATCACTGAGGGTCTCCATTTTCCTAAGTCCAACAGATAATTCAAAATTCACACCTTCTCACCTGTCTGTTAAAATACCTTTTATTCCTTGGATCTCATGACTCTATACTTTTCTGTTTTTTTTTCCCCCTCTCCTTAGTATCATTTTTAGGCAAATGCTCCTTCACATGGCAATAAACTTTGCTTCTGAATCATTCTTCTCAAATCTCAACTTTTATTTTTGCTTCACTCTACCATTGCCCTCTGGATTTTTGTAGATTCCTTTTTTATTATTTATTTATTTATTTATTTATTTCAGATGGAGTCTCGCTCTTTCGCCAAGGCTGGAGTGCAATGGCATGGTCTCAGCTCACTGCAACCTCCACCTCCTGGGTTCAAGCAATTCTTCTACCTCAGCCTCATGAGTAGCTGGGACTACAGGCTCATGCCACCATGCCCAGCTATGTTTTGTATTTTAGTAGAGACAGGGTTTCACTATGTTGGCCAGGCTGGTCTCGAATTCCTGACCTCAGGCGATCCTCCCATCTCAGCCTCCCAAAGTGCTGGGATTACAGGCATAAGCCACCATGCCCGGCCTAGATTCCTCTTTTAATTTTTACAATTTACCCCTTTATCTTCCTTCTAGTCTTAGGACTCATATTGTAATTCAAGAGTGCAATGAACATTGTCTTTGGCACTCTCATTACTCTTACATAAATAGCAACTACTCCTTTTGTTCTTATGTTATTCTGCTCTCTTCTGACTGAAACACAGTGACCTAAATTAAGCTAATTATCAGTTAGGTATGTGCAGCCCTACTTTGTCCAGCAACAGCCAGAACCTGACTTCTGTTTGGTCTTCCAAGTTGCTCTTGGTAATTGGGAAATTTTTTGATGAAAAAAAAAATGCTTTTACCAGTCAGTAATAGCTGTGTGTCCCCACTCAAAATTTATGTATTGAAGTCCTAACCCACAAGGTAATAATTTTAGGAAGTGGGGGTGAAGCCCTCATGAATGGAGTTAGGGCCCTTGATAAAAAGGCCCCAGAGAGACCCCTCAGCCTTTCCACCACATGAGGACACAGAGAGAAGGCACTGCCTATGGGGAAGCAGGCCCTCACCAGCCGCTGAACCTGCTGGTGCTTTGGTCTTGGACTTCCCAGCCTCCAAAACTGTGAGGAAATAAATATCTGTGGTTTGTAAGCCACCTGGTTTATGGTATTTTCTCATAGCAGCCTAAATTGCCTAAGACAGTGTCCATGCAAACTAATTTACACAACACAAAAAATAATCCAAATATTGTGTTCAGAAGTGGAATGGTCTGTGTAATATAAAAATCAGATTTTGAGGTTAGACTGGGTCTTATATCTTGGTCCTAGAGTTTCCGTAACAAAGTACCACAGCCTGGTGGCTTAATAAAATCAGAAACTAATTCTCCCACAGCTCTAGAGGGTAGAAGTCCAAAATTAAGGTGTTAGCAGGGCCATGCTCCCTCCAAGACGCTAGGTGGAATCTTTTTTTGCCTCTTCTTGCTTCTGATGGTGGCCATGCTTGTTTTGCATTCCTTGACCAGAAGACGCATCACTTGAGTCTCGGGCTCTGCTGTCACATGGTGCTCTCCCTGTATACATCTATCTTCACATCATGTTCTCCTTTTCTTACCAAGATACAAGTGATGCTAGATTGGGGTCCACTGTGATGGCCTTTTCTTAATTAACTCTGCAAAGACTTTCCAAATAAGATCACATCCACTGCGACTGAGGGTTAGGACTTCAACATCTATCTTTCTGGAGAACACACTTCAATCCATAATACACTTTGTCACTTAAGCATCTTGAATTTCAATTTTATTAAGCTGGGGATAATAATGCTGACTTCACAATGTTTCTGTGAAATGAAATGGGACAGCAAATGTAAATGACTGCCATGGTGACTGACTAATATTAACATTCTGTTTATCCCCTCACCTCCAAGAAAAGGTGTATTCATGCCTTTTCCAGTTCCTCCCTTTTCTCTACCTTCTTCGCTGCTGCATGAGGCATAGATGACAGTTCAATAGCCCATATCTCAGATTTGTTTTGTGGCCAAACTGCTGTTTAGTTCTAGGTCTGTTTTTCTAAATATCCACTCGGAATCTCCCTTTGAATGACCTTAAGGCCTTTAAACTCATTATCCAAAATCTAATCAATGCACTTTCTTGCCAAACCTTAATCCCTTTCGAGCATAACTATCACACTCATAGGACTCAGATTGTAATTCAACAGTGCAATGAACATTGTCTTTGGTATTTTCATTACTCTTCTCACATCCAGTCCACTATGAAGTCCTGTTAACTTTGGCTCGTATATCTCTCTCAAACCTTTCCCTTTATGTCCATCTCCACTGCAAACATTCTGGTTCAAGTAGACTTTACTTCCCACCTGGTTGCTGCCTCCTAGGTTTTCGACCTATGTACCTGTAGTGGACAAAATAATGACCTCCTGACTGACAATCCCTAGAGCCTGTGAATATGGTACCTTACATAACAAAAGGGACTTTATAGATGAGATTAAGTTAATTGAGATGGGACAATAGCCACATTATCCAGGTGGCCTCAAGGTAATCACATGAGTTCTTATCTGGGAAAGAGGGAAGCTGTAGAGGCACAGAGAAGAGAGGTGATGATGGAAGCAGAGGTTGGAGTGATGAGCTTTTTAGATGGAGGTAGGGGCAAGGCACCAAGGAATGCTGGTGCCTTTAGAAGCTGGAAGGGATGAGAAAGCCCATTATCCTCTGGAGCTTCCAGAAGGAGGATTCAGGCCAATATCTTGATTTAAGCCCAGAGAAATCCATTTCCAACTTCTGGCTTCCAGACTATAGGATCATAAATGTCTGTGGCTTTAATCCACCATGTCCATGGTAAATTCTTACAGCAGCAACGGGAAACTAATATGCTACTGTTTGCCTCTTCCTGTACCTTCTCTATGCAGACAAAATAATGCCATCTTCGAGAGTCAGATCTTCTTGAAACCAAAATTAGATAATCTTCCTGACACATTCTTACATCCCTGGTCCACACTCGTCTGATCCTTGTGTAGTAGGATCAAGCCTTCCTTACCCTTCACGTTCTCTGCACCAAGGTCTCCCATTTCCTGGATCTCACTGGCTCCTTCCTGCTACAGGAATTTTCTCATGTTGTTCCCTGTCCTCAGAACAGCTGAGCAGCCCCATCATCACTTCTTATAATACTCTCTTAATATCATTTATCTTCTCTTTTTAACCCTTGTCATCATTGCCACTGACATTTTACAGTTCTTGTTTTTTATTTTGTGTCTCTTTTTCTACCTGACTTTATGTTTACTCCTCCACAGAGTCGGGGACAGGGCCTCGTTTCCTCCCTCTTCCTTTACATCATTGTGTCCCCATCCTCCAGCTCAGTGCACTTGTCACTGTGGGTACTGAAACTTATGAGTTTAGGCAAGGAATGCACAGAAGAACCCCAGCAATATCCAGGCTAGAGCATGTTTGTATTGCTGCCTGGACTGTTAATAGCATCTGTAGCTTTGTAATGTATCTACTTGAATAATTCTACATTGACAATGTTTCTACCCATCTGAAATAAATAAATTAACTTGCATCATCTTTTCATAAGTTCAGGAAAGGCATTTCTTATGGAGTTATCATCATTTGCATGTCAGAATAATTTTGAGGCACTGAAGTCATTGACAATTCAATGTCGGAAGTGATAGTGTTTCAAGCTTTTAAAAAATCTGTAACGGTACATATCCAATGTGTTCTAAATCTTTATGTCTCAGAACAGTAAATTAATACAGATAAATAAAGCTAAAAAAGGAACAGAATTAAGTTCCAATCTGATGTGGATAAAAGCATAAGATAATGTTTAATTCTCTACCACATTCAGTTATAAGCCAAATAGAGTATCAACAATCTGGAAAAGATTAAATAAAAGGTTTAAAGCACATTTTTCAGTTCAAAAATAGGTTATTATTTTCAATGCTCATGGCACTTACAATTCCTTAGAAATATTCTGTCCCTTTTTATGTTACAAGTGTGTGGGAGATGGCTGTTTCACATAAGAATAAGCCTGGTTCAGGCCCTGTTATGAAGTGTTTCTCAGTCAGAGAACCCAAATCCACAAAATCCCACTAATCCTAATCACCCAGCTAATCCCTTTGAGAAGAGAGTGGAGACAGGGTGGAAGGTGAAGGTGCTGCTCAGGGTATCAGTTACACTTTCTGTGTTTCCAGAAATGTGGCCTCCTCCAGGAGAAAGAATTTACTGGGCCTCTGGGTGTGGAAGGGAAACTGGGTGGGATAGGGTGGGGCAAAGCAATGGGTGCTCAACCCAAACCCTTGTAGAATCTATTCCAAAATCTTCAAATTAAAGAGGACCAAAGAGAAAGGCTGTCATGATTGACATGAAGTCATCTGAGAAGAGTGCCTATTCAGGGCAGCAAGACGGAGGGGCAGGGGCTTGGGTTGTGTTGGAGGGAGTAGAGGGTTTGCTGCTTTGTGAGCTTGACCTCAGGCAGAGGACAATTGCTACATCCATATGTTCAGGCATACTATGGTCCCACCAGTATCTGCAGGGGTTCTTTTAATTCAGTATGTTGTGATGCTAACAAAAGGGCTAGTTAGGAAGGGCCTGCCCAGTGGGATGAAGGATGTTGTCTAGGTGGTTGCTACAGTTACTGGAGCACAGGTTGAGACAGGCGTGGTGAGAGTTGGAGCTGGGCAGGCTGGTAAGGCATGATCAGGAAGGGCCTCCAGGGCCATGTTTTGGAGTTGAGACTTCAGTCCAACAATGAATTCTATGGGACCTTCTTCCAGGAGGTTTTTTTCCTATGGTTCTTGAGCAAATGCCTTGTGCACAATCTCTCCCAATACACATTCTAGCTTACACCCTGTTGGTCAATAGGAAACTGTTGAGGAAGGTTAACAATGGAGTAAAAATGTCCTATTTTGGACAGACAAACCTGGTGTTCCACGAGGGTCCAGTTGGAATTAAAGAGAAGGGGAAAGACCCAGCATCCTCCAGGTGGCTTTGGCCATCATCTGAGTGACAATACTGGAGGACCTTAGCTAGCACGGGTGAATGGGGAGAGATTTAGAAAGCAAAATTGGTAGAGGTTCAGCAGAGAAATAAATATGTACATGTAGCAGAGAGATATGGACTGGGAGAAGACATCTGGCAAATATAGAAAGCTGTAACATCAAAACTGTGAAAAGACTGACATTCATTAAACATGAAGTGTGGAGAAAGAAGAAAACACACAAATGCTAAGGAGAATAAAATGCCAAAGAACAAAGGGAGATGAGCCCTTGTTGAAAAGTGAGAATGAAGCAGAGGTAGAGGAAAGTCAGAGAAGGATAAAGAATCAGGAGAAATGGGAGGAAAGGGTTTCACCAAGGGAGATGGCAAAATGTCACTATAAGCAGCCTGCTAGAGCAAGCCTCTCTTCCAGACCACAGTTATCCTTCCTTACAACTTCTCCCTTTTCAAGCCGCTGGCTGAGAGTTTTGGTTACTTCTGTGGATTTCTTCTATCAGATATGCTGCCTCCTGGCCTGCATCACCTCGGTCCTTATCAATGGGATTGGTAATGTATTGTTCCTCTCATCTCTTGTTTTGGGTGGACATCTCTATTCCACTTCCTAGATATGGCCAGTATCCTTTCTCCTTCCCACACCCATCACTTTGCAGTCAATATCTAAGATGGATAAGGCCCATTATTCTGAGAACATCTATCATTTGTTTAATGAGCCTTGTCTGAGCCATTTACTCTCTGGGTCTAAAAAATATGTTGGAAAGGAGGAAAATGCAGCCACTACTGCTCAGAGGTGACTTCACTACCACCCAATGGACTGCTTAGGAGTAGGTTGGCAGGTACCAGAGGCACTGGCCCTACACTCTGCTCTGGAAGATTGAAGCCAGAGAGCAGAATCTCCCAGGTTCACTTTTGGCAGCAAGTAAACGGTGTCATGTGACAGGTTTTCCAGGAAGTTTGCATGGGTCACTTTACATTGTTGTCTCCTAGCAATAGATTGATGGTGGTCACACTTTCTGTGTATCTAGATTATGCCCTCTTGGGTGTGATGTGTGTCTCCTGGCAGTGACATACAGAGGAGTTTTCCCACTTCTCCAAGGAATAGAGAGTCACTGAGACCATTTGACATCTGGAGTGGAGCAAAGGAACTTTGCAAGCCTCGTTCAAGAGAAGGGTGAGGGAGCTTGTATGTCCAACCTTTTTATCCTCTCTGGACCACTTCTTTGCATCTGTGCTGCATTTTCTGATCCAGCAATGTTCTCTTTGAAGATGAGATAGGAGTAGGGACCCATGCTCCTTGCTGCCAGCACTTGACCCAGCTGGCACAGGTAGAGCAGGACTAGTCTCAAGTAGGAAAGCTGGTTCCATATTGTGGTGAGACTAGGGGAGTGGCAGAAAGTGCTTTAGCCTCACATCTACCCTAGCTAAGCTCTGGAATGCTCTCCACTTTTAAGCGATGCAAGGGACAAAAGACGTTTCTCTTAGGATGGCTATCTCCTCTGGCCAGCTCCGAATGCCTATCCCTCATGATGGTTACATCCAGGTAAGGTATGGAGAGGAAAACACAGTCTCAGAGTTTAAAGTGAGGTTTCATTATTGGTAATGATTTCAGGACTCTCAGTAGGAAGAGGAAAGTGAAACATGTGGTTCTAGATTTCAAACTTCCAACTAACTATCAGGGTTTGTGAAGTTTCTGGGATTTTTATTCTAATTGCAACCTGATATATTAACCTGTTATTGCTTCACGAATGCTGGCAGAAGACATGATAGTCCTGTGTCAGAAACAAAGGACTTTATCACTCATGGCGAAGCAAGCAGCATTAGCTTCACTCTGGTTTGCACTGGTTTCTCTTTCTCTCCAAGTTTTATGGGCCGACACATGTGGGTCTACATGATGCCTGTCTATGAAGTGGGTTGGGTGACAGCAACAGGACCTGGAGCCTGGAGAACTTATTGCATTTGCATAGAGCAACAAGCAAGCATGATCTGTGTCTGGGGGATGGGGGTTGGTGGCACTGTTACATCATCCTTCATTGATGCTGGACAAACACAGTCCTGAGAAAGGGGCCAGGATTCTTGGCACACCAAGCAAAAACAGGCAGGAATGCTAAGGCACCATGGTAGGTTGCCTTTGTGACAATGACTCTCTGAAAAGGATGCTGTTAGCTTGCTTTTTAAAGAAATCATGTTATTTTTTCAATTAAACATTTAATATCTATAACAATGTTATAGCATTGGTTGAGGGTAGTAAATCAGGAAAGATCTATTTTTAGTTGAGATGTGTAACGTATTAGTGTATGTGACATGAAGTTATATGGATTATATGGAGACAGTTTACTCTGCAGGTGTTCTAATGCTTATGCAAAATCCTGAATGTGGCATCTTGGGGGATTTCCAGTGGTCCTGTATCTGACATGTTATTCTCCAATATACTGCAGTTGTAACATTTGTTCTTAATGCACAGATAGATTAATCTCCCTGCTTCCACTCTTCATTTGCTCATGAAGTATAGCTCTAGTCACCTTCATCCACTCCCTTTCCTTGGACACAGCAACACGTGTATGATCAAAGATCTTTTCACAAATACAGTATCCCTCTTCTGTGATGGTTTACAATAATCAATAGCATAGATATTTTCTAGGTCTGTGCATAAGTGGATATGCCTGCCACTGTATATATAGGACCTAGAGGATACAACCTGATAGAACATAAAAGAATCTAATTCTTAGCATGATAACTGTATTCTTACTGCTCCTACAAATGGACTAACTGAGTCATTCTCTTACCATTGTGGAGTTTGCCTACAACAATTCACCACCCTTCTTGAGGTAAAACACACTGTACCTTTGCAACTATGGCTTCTCTGTCACTGGCTCCTTTCACTGCTGACTGCGTCCACCATCCTCGCTTCCAGCAGTAGCAGGAGGAGTTGTGGACTTTCCAAGAGGATCTGTGATATATTTTTGGCCATGCCAATAGGCTGAGCAAGTTTTGATGACCAAGGCTTGGTTCCAGTGAAAGCTAGGGCAGCCCTATTAGTTAATACTACAATAATAATGAAGGACCAATAAAAATAGAATCATGAAAATCTACCCATAGTCACCATAAGAGTGCTCCGGAATGTTCCAGAATGGCCTTCCAGCAGGTGATCCCAAGAGGTCTCCAGGTGAGACCCTTGGATTTTCTGGTCCTTACACTGGCAGGTCATGCAGCACTGGGCTAAAAATGCAGTAAAGCAAACTGTGCACAGGACAAGAGGTAAGGCCAAGTGACCATTTCACACCTCTCCTCTCCTCCTTACTCCTTCCCCTTTTAATGTTCTTCACTTGCTTACTGTCACACCCCGGGTTTCCAGAACACTAACTCTTCTCCCACTTCACTTTCCCTCATAGGTTTATCCATTCTCTGGATTCCCTGTAGGATTGTTTGCTCAGTGGCTGTCATCTCTGCCTTCAACCCTCACTGCTCACCTGGTTCTTCTATATCTCGGTATGTAACCATGGTGGGTGGGGAAGCAGTTTTGTTAATTAGAGAAGTAGAGATACTCTCCTCTGGGTTTCAGGAAGTAGGAGAAATTGCTTCCAGGTAGAGGTCAGGGAAATACTTGTGCAGGAGAAAGCATCTGCCTGGAATCTTGCAGACAGTGTGCATTTCCAACTAGGAAGACATCAAGAGGGGCTGTGCAACAACAGAAAGACCCACAGGCAGTTCACTGAGGGCATCCTGAGCAAGGGTGAGAAGCTGAGTTTAAACGAAACAGAACACACATATGTGCTAGTGATTGCTGAATTCTCAGATGTTGCTTTTCTGATAATTGTACATATAATTTCCCCTCTTTCTTTTTCACTTTCCAAGTGTTTTTTTTTCTTTTCAAAGCTGCAATGTTGGTTGCCACTCTGAAAACTCAGTGTTATCTGGAGAAGCATATGCATTTTATAGTCCCCATCCCTTGACTCTTCCTTAACAATCTCATCTTTGTGGTTTCTCCAGTAAATTTATCTGAACAGCAGCACATTATTTTCTATTTATCCTGGATCATTTAAAAATTTTCTCAAAGGGATTTCTTCAAAGTTTACTAGTTTCTTTCTCTTGCTGTTTGCCCATATTCTTGGAAGCATCACAGCATTAATGATTCTGTGATTGCTGGACCGTAGAAACTTGGCCCTTGCATATTTGCTTTCATCATTCTTTGTTTATTAGGAGGAAATCCAGGAAATAAATCAAGAAATTAGAGCATTCTCTGGAGTTTTACTGCGGCTCAGCACTCCTTAAAAAATATGTCCTGCTGTTCATTTATTCCAAAGTGTACTTGATGATTCTCTGGGAATTCGCTGTCCATCACATGTTAGAACATTGCACCATTCAAAAATTCATCGCTTAGGGACATAAACTCATTGGGGAGAGTTTCTTCAGCTGTTTTTCTCATTAGTCTTTAACTTTCCAGAAACTGCCTCAGAGAAAGCTTTAAATGCTCGCTATTTAAACTACAAATATACAGCAGTGATCTTCCCATTTTGTCAAAAACTTCCAATGGCTGCTGATGGAATTGGGTCTGCAATAAGAAGAAGAGTGAAAGAGATGGATCAGAAAACATTAGACTGCAGAATTTAAAGCATATATTTGAACATACTGTCTGAATGAAAAGGGATTAAGCCATAAAGTTGAAAACATTTATGTTGTATAGCAAGCAGCCCTTCTTTCCAAGCAGAGACTTGGTCATGCCATTAGTTTTTCCATCAAAATTTCTTGAATTAAATATCTAAGAAACATCAATTGAGTGGCTACAGTGTGCCAAGTATCTAAAACACAAACAATGTAAGCAGAGTCTCTGGCTCCAAGCATATTACAAATTGTACTGTAATAGCGAGATTTAGCAAATGATTTTGATAATGAGCCAAATAAAGATATATGCCCAGATGTTTCCACCAGTGGAGGACCTCTCCATGCCTAGGCACAGGCTACGATTAACATGCTTATCGCAGTGGGGTTGATTCCAGGAAGCAGCACCCAGATGGGAAAATGTAGCCAAGAGCAATCAGGGTCAATGAAAGGATGGTGAGTGGCCAAGAGATTGGAGAAAGTGTGAGCTATCATCAAAGTGGCACAGAACAGCCCTTGCGAAGATACAACAGGAGGAATTCAGGTTCTCATAGCATCTTTTTCTGTGTTGGGCCACCTTTCATTATATGTGCTGGGGGCAGTTAGAAAGTAAATTGCAAAATGGAGTTGGGTAAGATGTTCAGCTCTGTCTAGGGAAGCAGTGAAGGCACCATAGGATGAATTGAATTCTGAAGGATGAGTCATAGACCAATGCTGTTTTATTTTGTTTGAAATGAAGCTGTCATCAAAATATGTATTAGATAATCAAAATATGTCTTAGAGATTTTCCTTCTAAGAATTTTTATGTGCATGTGTGTGTGTATATGTTTGTGTGTGTGTATATATAAATATATATTTACATATACATGTGTCTATAAAAGGGAATATATATATAAGAGAAAAAATATATTTCTCATTTTCTGAAAAATAAGTCTATATTGAAATGTTTTTCGTTTATATAGTTAAACTATATTTATATCAAATATACAATGAATTAAAGAAAATTTGTGTTTTGGTTAATCTAATTGGTTGAGAACATTGCTCTGTTTCTGATTGTATTATTCTGTTTTCTACAGAAAAAAATAATTCTTTTGGGTTCAAATAAAGGGACTTTAAGAAAGAGAACAGTTACAGAGGTGAGGTCTTTGTTAAAAACAAGGGTACTCAGAGATGAGCCACAGCAGCTGGAGAAAACTGGTATGACTTGTAATGCCTGCGAGATGTTGGGGGAGGGGATAGGAGATGCTTTTTGAGAACAGTGATCAGGTAGAGAGATGGAGGAAAAGATAACTGAGAAGGTGTGGTGCCAAACCAGAATACCAGAATATACCTCTGAACAAAATATATTTGTATTAGTGATATGGTTTGGCTGTGTCCCCACCCAAATCTCATCTTGAATGGTAACTCCCATAATTATCTCCTGTTGTGGGAGAGACCCAGTGGGAGATAACTGAATCACGGGGCGGTTTACCCCATACTATTCTCATGGTAGCAAATAAGTCTCATGAGAGCTGATGGTTTTATAAGGGGAAACCCCTTTCGCTTGGCTCTCACTCTTCTCTTGTCTGCTTCCACGTGAGATGTGCCTTTCACTTTCTGCCAAGATTTTGAGGCCTCCCCAGCCACGCAGAACTGTGAAGCTATTAAACCTCTTTCTTTGTAAATTGCCCAGTTTCAGGCATGTCTTTATAAGCAATGTGAAAACAGACTAATACAATTGGGTTATCTGTAATTTGTTAGCCTGGGTACAATTCTACAAGAGTAAAAAAAGCCATTCCATTCAGAGAAGAAGCCTGTATGAAGGCAAGAAGACAAGAAAATGCACGGTGACCTGGAGACCACCTCAGTGGACTTCAGGTGATGGAGGGAAAAAGAAGCTGAGTCTGCAGGGGAAGATTTTGGGAGAATGCAGGCTTTGTGCCACGGTTAATGAGACCTACAATTAGCATTAATCTTCACTAGCCTACATCTTAGAAAATATCTTCCAAATTGTGTGTGAGACTCTGTCAAAGACAATTAAATTGGACTTAACTTGTTAACTAGTTAATGGGACAAGTTCTAGTTACTTCAGATTCTGTCTCAGGAAATAGAAATGGAATTGAAACTTTGTGAATGACTTTTATATCACCATCTCTCTGGCATGTTTTGAAAATTGTTTGAATAATTCAGAAAGAATTTTCTGAATCTTACTATATGCTAGGCTCTGTGATACATGATATACATCTGATTTCACATTTTAACCTTAGGCATAAGATGGATACAAATGCTAGGAACTGAACTAGAACAGTGAAAAAATGAATAGAGTCCCTACCTTCATGGAGTTTATAATTCAGAAAGAACCACTGAGAATTTGAAGTGTTTATGAGCACATGACATTTTTGAAGGACACCTGGCAGGTGTTATATGTGAAGCAGATTCATGGTGCGCCAGTTACCAGTCCTAGGGGAGGGCTCCCACTGCGTGGAAAACAGCAGAAATCATTATGAAGTCAATCATGAGGAACAGGAGTCCAAACGCTTTCATCCACTGCATTTTGAGCTGCAATTTCTACAACTTGCACAAGTCTGGTGAGAGAGAATTTATACAAGTGAAGCAACTTTATTGCTCACAGACATGCTGCAAGAGACAGTAGAAGCCATGGTGAGCCAATCTCTCAAAGCTCAGGAAAGCCTCGTAGGATAGATGGAGTCTCACCTGCATGTTCCCTACATTATACCATAGCTGAGGAATCCAAAAAGCATTCTGCACTGGGGTTTATACCCCAGGAAAAACTGGGATCGCTGGGCTAAAGCATTGTGGGACATTCTATTCTAGGAGATATAGGAACAGAGCTCAGGCTATTCCAGCCAGTTCCTCCTTATCTCAGAATGTTGCATTCTCAGCATGTCCCACAGTTATTCTGACATTTACAAGGGAAAACTGAGGAAGAGCTGGGTCAGCCAAGGCTATCTTGGGATGTCCTGCACTATGAGAAAAAGTGGAGCTTCATCTATAGGTGATAATTCAAGGCTCCCCGGAGGGAGAATTATAAAAGCTGAGACTTGAATGTGGAAGATTCAGCCATGAAAGAAAGTGCTGAAGGTGGGCATGTCAGTGCAGAGAGCCCCATTTCAAGCAGGGAAACAGCGAGAGAGTGGGGCCCATTCGAGACACTTAAGATCATTATGTTTAAAGTAGTGGCTGCAAGAGAGAAAGCTAGGTTGCCTTGTGCAGGATCTAACCATAAATGTGGTTTGCAACACACTGACCCTGAAAGATAAAGTTATGTGTAATGCTAAGTTAGTTGACACAAACCCAGAAACGCATTCCACCCCTGGTGCTATGAGAGACATCCAGTAGTTAGAAGCTGAATGAGGACACTGTCATTACTTTGTAAAGGCTATTATTTCTGGTGTACCTATCCAGGCTGTCAACGTAAAATTCTATATATTCAAAGTTAATACATATCCGTCTCTCTTCACTTGGATGTGAAACTGCTGGTGGAGCTAGCAAAGAATTTGCAAGTTTAGTCAAGTCTGACTGACACTCCCAAGGGCAATGAGGCATTTGCCCCTGATTTAGGTGACCAGGCTGGTACTCCTATCCAGGGTCCCTTCATTTCTCAACAGATATTTATTGGGCACTTGCCATGTGCGGGGTCTTGTACTCAGAACTGGATTGATTAAGTTATAGCTCTCAAGGCAGCCACAGTCTATTAGGAAAGCAGAGAAGATTATACATCAGAGATAATACCACATGATAATGCTTCACAAAAGGAAAGTACAATATCCTAAGGGAAAAGAGGCTACCTGAGGAATCTGAGTTAATTCATTTGAGTCACCTTCAAGGAATAAACAGGAGATTTATAAAAGCAAACTGCCATGGCTGAAATTTCAATTCACTTGGCAATTTGGAATTTATGTTAGACTCAAAGGTGTTTAGTGCCTCCCGCCACCCCCACAAAAAAGTGTCCAAATATATTCCAAAAACTTACTAGAATATTTGCATTGAAAATAATGTTTATGGTTGGATATAAGGATGTTAACCAAATACACTTACAGCACTGATTTTTTAGACAAGTGTCAGACTTTAAGCAAGAAGTATTAGGATATCTACAGAAATAGCTGAAAGGGAGTTCTTAATTAAGCCCATCATTTTTGACTGTATTAACTGTAGGGAGACAAACAGAAGGGTTGTCCAGTGGTTCTCCACTTATTGAAATCTCTCTGGAACTTTCATCAAAGAGAAGTATTAAATGCATTCAGATGTTTGAAATGGGATTTTTTTCAACAGCTCAATGGATTCTGATATTTTCTCAGATAGATTGAGCCAGTTGAAGACTAAGCTGGAGAAGCCTTCAGCCAGTGAGATTCTGCTCCTTCCCCCCCATATGAAAAAAGGGTTATTACGGCTTCAGAGGATTGAATTCTAGATATTTTGGTAATTGCTAAGAAGCGTAGAAGTAAGCTCTCCTGTCATAAAAATATTAAAAACCAATGCAGTTTAAATTGTCAAAACAAAACAATCCCTTTATGTATAGGTACCACAGATGGATGGATGATGCAATGTGAATGATAAATGACCGTAAGCTCTTTAAGCAAATGCTAACCTCTAGCTGGGATGTTATAGGAGTCCCATTCAGAAACGGACTTTGCATTGAGCTAGCCATGAAACCTTACACTTGATTTAGTCTGTGATACTGCCACAGTTTGATCTTTGCCTTCAATGACTGATTCCTTGTAAGAAATAAAGCTGCAGAACCAAATGCACACTCTCTCTATAGCCACTTGAGACAGCAACATTTGCAGCCTACTTGGTATAATTGCAGATTTAAAATTACATTAGAATATTTTCTCTTTTCTGTTCCCTTTTTTTCTGAACAATTCAGATCAAAAGTTGCTAGGTGGGTCTGAGCAAGGTTATTTTCTGCCGTGGGTGGCAGGGTCCTGGCTTAGGTTATCAGAGACCCAGCTGTGTGGAGACTGTCAGTGGGTTGGGGAAGGAGGTGACAGCTCAGCATGGGTTATTGGAGCTCTACTGGAATAAATAGAATGTCTGAGGGGCATGAGTGATAACAAGAAATTGGTTCCATACAAAGGAATCCATTAAACAGGTAATGATATGAGGATATTGAGAGACAGACTCTCACTGTCAGAGAAGAAAGTTAAGTATCCTAAAAGGGAGAAAATTAGAATGAACCTTATTGCATTTGGATATAACTGTATAAACTAATTTCCAAATATCTATAAATAAAAATAAATATGTCTATATTTAAAAGTAAATATAGACGTAAATGTGCATATAAAAACATATATGCATGTACATTCCCTAGTGAAATTCACTGAAAAAGGCTGCTGAACATCAACACACACATTTTGGATTTTAAAGATCATTTCACATCTCTAACAGGCACCAGGGCTCTTGGAAGAAATAGCTGATTCCAGGGCAGGGGCAGAGAAAGTACAAGATAAGCCTGGAACTTCTTTGTTTTCACAAAAATGTAAAGAAAAGCACAAAAAATGATAATGATTGATAAATTAGGCTCCTCTGGCCAAATATGAGACAATTTAAGCACCGTATTAGTGATCGTAATCTATTATAATTTGTTGAATAAAATGATGAGCCATGAGTCGATATTAACATAATTTTTTCAAATGAGTGAATAAATGAAAAATTTGATGAGGAAAAGGATATTCAAATAGTTTCAAAGTTCTTCCCAATAAAAAAATAAGTTATAAAGGAGAAAATAGTAACATTACAGTGGAGAAGACTGACAGACACCATCTTAATCAAGCAATCAAAATGAATATCATCAAGAAAGGGGTGAATCAACATCATATGTTACCTTATAGGATATAATGAGAAAAAGTAGCATTGTTTTTGTGATATTCCTTATGAATCTAATAATAAGGAAATGTCCAAATTGAAAGACATTTTACAAATAACTTGCCTTCATCTTTCAAAAGGCTCAAAAGCATGAAAGATATGAAACATCTGAGGAGCTGTAACTAATGGAAGCATAGTAAAGATATGCAATAAGTGATTAAGTATTGGATCTCTTGCTTGCTATATATTGGACAATTGGTGAAATTTGAGTGAGGTCTAAGGTGTAGATGGTAGTTATGTGTCAATGTAATTTCCTGATATTGATGTCTGTACTGTGTATACATAGGAACATGTCTTTGTAGGACATACAGGACATACACACTAGGAGTTATACTCCAATGGCTTATAAAAAAAGAATTGTACTGTTTTTGCAATTTTTTATGGAACTTTGAGGTTGTTTTATATGTATATACATAAATAAATTTATATATATAAATAATATATAAAAATCAATTTATATATATACAACTATAGTAGAGAAAGATTAAGTTTAATGAGTGCAAGACAGCCAAGTGGGAGAACTGGTGTTATCACTTAAACTGGTCTCACTGAAGGCTTGAAGGTTAGAGTTTTTCAAGTATAGTTTGGTGGCCAGGGGATTAGAGGATAGGTGCTGCTGATTGTTTGGGATGAAATCATAGGGGTGTGGAAAGCAGTCTTCTTACATTGAGTCCACTCCTGGATTGGGGACCACAGGACTGGTTGAGTCATGAGTCACAAGTTCAGATGGGGTCAGTGTGAAAACCATCTCAAAAGACCAATCTTAGCTTCCACAATAGTGATGTTTTCAGCAGGAGCAATTGAGGAAGTCACAAATGTTGTGACCTCTTCCCACGTGACTCCTGAGCAGTAAGAGATTACAGAAACTATGCCTACTTTTTAGCAGAATGTAGGCCTCTCCAATAATTCTAATCTTGTGGCCTTTCATTAGTCTAACAATGGCAGTTTCAGCCCCCCAACAAAGAGGGAATCCATTTTAGGGAGAGACCATTATCCTTGCTTCTAAATTAAACTATAATTTCCTCCCATGGTTAGCTTGGCCTATGCTCAGGAATGAGTGAGGAGAGCCAGCCTGTGAGGCTAGAAGCAAGGGGGAGTCAGTCATGTTAGACTTCTCTCACTGTCATAATATTTGCAAAGCTGGTTTCAGTCTCTGCCTTAGGCTTCAGTATACCTAAATTCTGAGGTGTGAGCTGCAGAGATGAGAAACAGCCAGTGACCAATCTAACTTCTTCCTACTGAAAGAGGACAGGGTTTGGGTAGGGGTCACCCACAGTATAAGAGGAATGAAACAATTTTGCAGTTGTCTGTATGTATTTATGGGTGCCTGGTTTGGGTCTCAAGGTCTGTATAACAAAAACATTAGTATTCATATTTACAGTTTTAGTACAGCACTTAAGAGAACAGCAGACTAAAAAACAAATAATGAGCCCTAACAAAGAGAGTGAGGGTCTTTGCTTCAGGAGTCCCTGCAGAACTGACCTGAAAATTTGAGTGATGCCGCTGAATGACCTTGAAAACAAATCAGATTTGAGGTCACCAGTAGAGACTCAAAAACAATAGACCGAGTTGGAATCCAACAACAGGTATAATATAGTTTTTTACTTGAGACATAATTTTTCTCTCTCCAGTTCCCTATTTTTACCAAAGACAAATCACAGCAGCACCAATTTATTTGCAAAACAAGTTTCAGTTCCATTATATTTGTCCTAATTATTTGCATAAAATGAATTATTTTCATAAGGAATTTGAGATTTAACCTTTTAAAAGCCTCTTGAGCCCAGCCAAGGATTTATCTGTGCCTACAGATACCTGTACAAATTGGGTGAATTCCTGTCTTCTTGAAGTCTCAAAATAGCTTAGGGTTTCTGGGCTTGTCAGAAAGTGACATTCTTTACTTGCCACAGATCAGGAACCCTGCACAGGACAAGATATGAGGCCAGTTTCTCCAAGGGGCTTTTATTGGCTCTATAAATCAACCTCCGTTCCACAAAGCAGTCTGAAAACATGTCATTCCAGTAAAAATCTTGGTAAAAATAACCAGTGTCTCTAATTGTGTTCTGCTATAAAAGCTAATACCTATATTGCCATAAATTAAGAATATTCACCAATAGTAAAGTATACTCCTGTGAGCAAAATTTGGAGCACATTTCTCTCTACCTGATTTCTCCAGAATTTGGAAACTATTGGTTGTAAGAATCAAAACCAAAGTAATCAGCAACATTTTGAGTAAAAACTCATGCTATTAACTCCTGCTCTACTTGATATTGGGCCAGCAATCCTTACAAACACATCAGCTCTCCATGAGAGTCCTCAAAGTTATTGTTCTCTATTTCAATGACACAATTTTTAAAGTTATCAGGAGCCCATCAGAGCACCCAACAGAGTCTGATAGCTAGTTATAAAACCAACTTTTGAAAAGAATTAAAGTAAAACAAAAAATACATTTTTAAAATTAAAAATTAGATGACACCTTTGTATAAATACTTAAACGTTCTGAAAATTTTCATGTATTCAAAGATAAGGAAATAGGGAATATCAAACTTTTTGTAACATAAAAGATTGGAAATATCATTACCATACTGGACAATAAAATCAGTGTAACTATGGCACTGTGAAACAAAGAATTACTTACTTTCTGACTCATGAATCTCAGAGAAAACTTAGGCACTGCTGTGTTCCTCAGAGCTCGGAAGAAGTGTTGCATCACAAAGGATGGGCACGATACTCTGATGGTCCTCACGTGTGCTCCAAAAAGGGGCCTGGTAATGTAGTGAGGCTCTAATGAGACAAATAGGCTGCTTATAAGGTTCTGGAGTGAACTCATATTATAGTAAGCAAGATTTTGGAGAAAGGTTGGATGATAATCCTATGTGAGGTAGAATAAAGAGAACCAGTCCTATGAGAGCCTGTATCTATGTTGTTTCTAATTTTGGTGAAAAGGAGAAAAACCATCTTCAGATTGGAAAAGACAGATCAAACATGAGCAGGAAGGAGTAGGTGAGTTACTTAGGAGACACAGTGGGTATTTGTAGAGGCAAAGACACAAATATTGGCTCTCAAAACTGGCCCAAGTGTTTTTTTCTCCAGGCAGAAATAGGGTCCTTGTAAAACTCTCTGGCATTCTGAGGGATCAGGAAATCTTGCATCAGTGTGAACAGAGGTTCACAAGATGGGTAGGAACTGTTTCAATCTTTAGAAAGGAAGGAGTAGGCCATGGGTTACTCCTCATATTGTAAGTTTGTACTTCAAGACAGCATACTATGCAGTATGCCTGTGGATATGCTGGAGAAATGGACAAATGTGAGCTGATTAACACTAAATGGTTGAAGCCTTATAACACAGATGATAATGCACTGAATTACTGACTTTAGTTTATTGATCTGGGTGATCCAGTAACAAAACTGTAAAGGAGAAATAAGGCTTTGTGCTTGAGCTAGTCCTCTTCAAGATGTTTTCAAAACATGTAAGATTCCTCTGCTCTGCGTGTAAGACTCCACAGTGTGTCAAACAAATTGGCCCTGTGTGAAGACTCCATGGCTTGCAGCCTGCTCACCCTTACAGACTCCATTTTCCACACTTGCTCCCTGAGTGTCCCCAAGTAATCCCTCCTATGATGAACTTTGCCCTTTCATACATCTGAATATTTTCTCTGTATCTCCTCTGTTTGAATGCTTTTTTTCTTCTTTACCTCCTGAATGAAATGCTATAAATGTTTGGGAAGCAGTAGCAAGATAGGTTTTAAAATTAGAAAGACCAATTTTCAAATCTTGCCTCTTTTGCCTGAAAATAGCAGGACAACTGGAGCTGTTACTTAAACTCTCTTGACCTTAGATTTCTTCTCCGTACAATGGATATGGAGGATGTCTCTAATTGAGACAGTTGTTTTTCAGGATCAAATTAGGTAATTAATATAATACTTTTATCACAAGTGCTCATGTAGTAAAGATTAATAAATATTAGCTGCCATATTGTCATTGCTATCATTAGACCCGAGGCTGGATCAGGGTATCATTAATAGTCTGGGCTTTGGCTAGATGTACCAGCTGTGTGACTGTGGTGACTTTATTTAAACTCTCAACGATTCAGTTCTTTTATCTGGAATGTCAGGACAGTAAGGGTTGTTTTGGGAATTAAATGAGATAATGCACATAAAACTGGCATGTGTCAAGCACTTAATAAATGTTAACTATTTTCATTACTAGTTGCATTAGTCAGGCTGCCATAACAAATACCATAGACAGGGGGCCCACACATCAGAAATTTATTTCTCACAATTCTGGAGACTGGAAAGTCCAAGTTCAAGGTGCTGGCAAGGTAGGTTCCATTCTGTATGTGCTTCTTCTTGCTTATATGTTGTTCCCATCCTGCTGCATGTTCACATGACCTCTTCTTTGTGAACACCAGGGAGAAGGAAGAAGTTCTCTGCTGTCTATTCTTATAAGGGCACTAATCCCATCAGACCAATTCCTTACCATATGGCCTCATTCAACCTTTACTTACATAAAGAGCCCTCTCCAAATATAGGCACATTGGGGGTTAGGGCTTCAACATACAAATTTTGGGGAGGACATCAGAATTCATCCTGTAACAGTATTACTATTGTTGCTATTATTTTTTAAGGTCTAACATAAATATCACCTTATATTTTAAGCCTTCTCTTACTTTCTCAGAATTCTTTCCTCTTTGTATTTATGTCTTTATGTATAGAGATGTATTTCATCTTAAAAAAGGTTTAAGTTACTGGCTTCACATACAACTGGCTCACAAGAAACTTCAGTAGAACTTTACTGAAAAAATAATAGAACAAACACATTCATAGGGAATTGATATCATACTTATTATATGTGACTGTAGACAGCTGGAGTAGTTACAGTGGGTGGAAGTTATGTGGATTCTGGGTTAAATACTGAGGAAACTTTCTTACAATTAATGTTGACTGAAATTGAAATAGTTTGCCTCTGTGGTAGCATTACCAATTTATTCAGCTACCTTGTTCTAAATAGACTTGCCCTAGTGACATGTTTGTGGCTGAAAACTACCTGAGTTACCTGGGGCAATGCACTTCCTCTTTATGGGCCTCATGTGTAAAATGAGAAAGTTGGTATAGATCTTTCTCTAAATTGTTTTTCATTTCTTCTTTATTGCCATGGAGATGATTTTTTTTTTTGGTTGTCACGTTCTAGAGTTTTATTTTTTTTCCTAAGAAGTCAAACATGTAGGTGAGTATTCACCTTAATCTTGAGCCCCAAGTTATCTGCTTCTTTTACTCACAACACATTTAGTTAAAAGAGCAGAAACTCACTTGAGCTAGCTTAAGTAAAGGGAGGTTTATTGTAAGGACATAGCAGGCAACCTCATGAGCATCCAATAATAAAAAATAAAAGAATTGGACCTGAAAAGTCAGATTCCAAGGCTATGACTTCTTCCCTGCCTAATGACAGCATTACATTTAAACTCCATTTCTCTCCCCTTGCCTGTTCCATCATCTCTCTTTTGAATTACTAACCTTCTCTGTTTCTTCATGAGTGTGCCCAACCAATGGTGATAACTGCCCACTCAACTCAATCAATAATGACACAACAAAAACAAATTAAGCCAGACTTTAGTCTCTATACCCCTTAATTCAGTTGGTTGAAATGAGAAAACTGATTTTTTCAGAACTAGCCTTGGATGGTGGCCCTTGGGTTGGGCCTCCCTTGTACCAAGTAGTTGTGGTTGGTGGTAAGTGGAAATAGGATCACAACTTCCAGGAACTACAAGTAGGAAAATAAAACTGACTGATAAAATAGCCACAGAGATGGTCTATAAATATGCAAAGAATCCTATAATAAACTGCTGAATTTCAAAGACCTTCAGGGAATGAAATATGAAACATGGTCTAGGGAAAACAGCAAGATTCTCAAGATGCTAGCAGGATAATGTGGACCCACAGAGTGAAGCCATGTTGGTTCCCAGTAAGGCTGACTTGAGAAAGTGTGCTTCTGTTGATATGGCTTTTCCTTTTATTTGTTAAGATATAACATATATATATTATATATAACATATATAATATAACATATATATATTATATATAACATATATAATATAACATATATATATTATATATAACATATATAATATAACATATATATATTATATATAACATATATAATATAACATATATGTTATATATATTTAATATATATAAAGCAAAAAAAGCAGGGGTTGCAATCCGGTGTCTGATAAAACAGAATTTAAACCAACAAAGATCAAAAGAGACAATAATGGTAAAGGGATCAAGGCAACAAGAAGAGGTAACTATCCTAAATATATATGCACCCAATACAGGAGCACCCAGATTCATAAAGCAAGTCCTTACAGACCTACAAAGAGACTTAGACTCCCACACAATAATAATGGGAGATTTTAACACCCCACTGTCAATATTGGACAGATCAATGAGACAGAAGGTTAACAAGGATATCCAGGACTTAAATTCAGCTCTGCACCAAGCAGACCTAATAGACATCTACAGAACTCTCTACCCCAAATCAACAGAATATATATTCTTCTCAGCACCACACCACACCTATTCCAAAATTGACCACGTAATTGGAAGTAAAGCACTCCTCAGCAAATGTAAAAGAACAGAAATCACAACAGACTATCTCTCAGACCACAGTGCAATCCAGTTAGAACTCAAGATTAAGAAACTCACTCAAAACTGCACAACTACATGGAAACTGAACAACCTGCTCCTGAATGACTACTGGGTAAATAATGAAATGAAGGCAGAAATAAAGATATTCTTTGAAACAAATGAGAACAAAGACACAACATACCAGAATCTCTGGGACACATTTAAAGCAGTGTGAAGAGGGAAATTTATAGCACTAAATGCCCACAATAGAAACCAGGAAAGATCTAAAACTGACACCCTAACATTACAATTAAAAGAACTAGAGAAGCAAGAGCAAACACATTCAAAAGCTAGCAGAAGGCAAGAAATAACTACAAGCAGAGCAGAACTGAAGGAGAAAGAGACACGAGAAACCCATCAAAAAATCAATGAATCCAGGAGCTGATTTTTTGAAAAGATCAACAAAATTGATAGACCGCTAGCAAGACTAATAAAGAAGAAAAGAGAGAAGAATCAAATAGATGCAATAAAAAATGATACAGGGGATATCATCACTGATTCCACAGAAATGCAAACTACCATCAGAGAATACTACAAACACCTCTACGCAAATAAACTAGAAAATCTAGAAGAAATGGATAAATTCCTGGACGCATACACCCTCCCAAAACTAAACCAGGAAGAAGTTGAATCTCTGAATAGACCAGTAACAGCTTCTGAAATTGTGGTAATAATTAATAGCCTACCAACCCCAGAATGTCCAGGACCAGAGAGTTTAACAGCCGAAATCTACCAGAGGTACAAAGAGGAGCTGGTACCATTCCTTCTGAAACTATTCCAATCAATAGAAAAAGAGCAACTCCTCCCTAACTCATTTTATGAGGCCAGCATCATCCTGATATCAAAGCATGACAGAGACACAACAAAAAGAGATAATTTTAGACCAATATCCCTGATGAACATCGATGCAAAAATCCTCAATAAAATACTGGCAAACCGAATCCAGCAGCACATCAACAGGCTTATCCACCATGGTTAAGTCAGCTTCATCCCTGGGATGCAAGGCTGGTTCAACATATGCAAATCAATAAACATAACCCATCACATAAACAGAACCAAAGAGAAAAGCCACATGATTATCTCCATAGATGCAGAAAAGGTCTTTGACAAAATTCAACAGTCCTACATGCTAAAAACTCTCAATAAACTAGGTATTAATGGAACACACCTCAAAATAATAAGAGCTATTTATGACAAACCCACAGCCAATATCATACTGAATGGGCAAAAACTGGAAGCATTCTCTTTGAAAACTGGCACAAGACAAGGATACCTTCACTCACCACTCCTATTCAACATAGTGTTGGAAGTTCTGGCCAGGGCAATCAGGAAAGAGGAAGAAATAAAGGGTATTCAATTAGGAAGTGAGGAAGTCAAGTTGTCCCTGATTGCAGATGACATGATTGTATATTTAGAAAACTCCAGCATCTTAGCCCAAAATCTCCTTAAGCTGATAAGCAACATCAGCAAAGTCTCAGGATACAAAAATCAATGTGCAAAAATTATAAGCATTCCTATACACCATTAACAGACAAACAGAGAGCCAAATCACGAGTGAACTCCCATTCACAATTGCTACAAAGAGTACAAAATACCCAGGAATCCAACTTACAAGGGATGTGAAGGACCTTTTCAAGGAGAACTACAAACCACTGCTCAACAAAATAAAAGAGGATACAAACAAATGGAAGAACATTCCTTGCTCATGGATAGGAAGAACCAATATTGGGAAAATGGCCATACTGCCCAAGATAATTTATGGATTCAATGCGATCCCCATCAAGCTATCAATGACTTTCTTTACAGAATTGGAAAAAACTACTTCAAAGTTCATATGGAACCAAAAAAGAGCCTGCATTGCCAAGACAATCCTAAGCAGAAAGAACAAAGCTGGGAGCATCACGCTACCTGACTTCAAACTATACTACAAGGCTACAATAACCAAAACAGCACGGTACTGGTACCAAAACAGATATATAGACCAATGGAACAGAACAGAGGCCTCAGAAATAACACCAAACATCTACAACCATCTAATCTTTGACAAACCTGACAAAAACAAGAAATGGGGAAAGGATTCCCTATTTAATAAATGGTTCTGGAAAAACTGCCTAGCCATATGTAGAAAGCTGAAACTGGATCCCTTCCTTACACCTTATAGAAAAATTATTTCAAGATGGATTAAAGACTTAAGTGTTAGACCTAAAACCATAAAAAGCCTAGAAGAAAACCTGAGCAATACCATTCACGACATAGGCATGGGCAAGGACTTCATGAATAAAACACCAAAAGGCAACAAAAGCCAAAATAGACAAATGGGATCTAATTAAACTAAAGATCTTCTGCATGGCAAAAGAAACTACCATCAGAGTGAACAGGCAACCTACAGAATGGGAGAAAAATTTTGCAACCTACCCATTTGACAAAAGGCTAATATCTAGAATCTACAGAGAATTTACAAGGAAAAAACAACCCCATCAAAAAGTGGGCAAAGGATATGAACAGACAATTCTCAAAAGAAGACATTTATGAAGCCAACAGACACATGAAAAAATGCTCATCATCACTAGTCATCAGAGAAATGCAAATCAAAACCACAATGAGATACCATCTCACACTGGTTAGCATGGCGATCATTAAAAAGTCAGGAAACAACAGGTGCTGGAGAGGATGTGGAGAAATAGGAATGCTTTTACCCTGTTGGTGGGAGTGTAAAGTAGTTCAACCATTATGGAAGACAGTGTGGTGATTCCTCAAGGATCTAGACTAGAAATACCATTTGATCCAGCGATCCCATTACTGGGTATATACCCAAATGATTATAAATCATGCTACTATAAAGACACATGCACATGCATGTTTATTGCAGTACTACTCACAATAGCAAAGACTTGGAACTAACCCAAATGTCCATCAATGATAGACTTGATTAAGAAAATGTGGCACATATACACCATGAAATACTACGCAGCCATAAAAAAGGATGAGTTCATGTCCTTTGCAGGGACATGGATGAAGCTGGAAACCATCATTCTCAGCAAACTATCACAAAGACAGAAAACCAAACACCGCATGTTCTCACTCATAGGTGAGAATTGAACAATGGGAACACTTGGACACAGAGAGGGGACCATCACACACTGGGGCCTGTCAGGGGTTGGGGGACTAGAGGAGGAACAACATTAGGAGAAATACCTATTGTAAATGACGAGTGGATAGGTGCAGTAAACCAACATGGCACATGTATACCTACGTAACAAACCTGCACGTTGTGCACACATACCCTAGAACTTAAAGTACAATAAAAAATAAAATAAGTTTCCATTCAACCCAAGTAAGTGCCTTAGAAATAAAATTTATGGAACATACGATATTTCTTTAACTTTATAATAAATTCCTAAATTGTTTTGCAAAGTGCTTGCAACATTTTACATTCCACAAACAATATATGAGAATCCCTGTTCCTCTGTATCCTCTGGATGTGTCAGTTATTTTTATTTTTTAGCAGTTTAAATAGATGTGTAGTGCTATCTCATTGTGGTTTTAATTTGCATTTTTCTAATGACTAATGATTTTGAACATCTTTTTGTGTATTTATTTGCCATCTGTATATTGTCTTTGATAAATTGAGTCTTTCACCAATTTATATTAGGTTGAATGTTTTCTTATTTTTGAATTTTCATAGTTTTTAATGTATTTCACACATGCATATACACACTCACTTGCTTAATCAAATGTTATTAACAGATTTTCCTCCCTGTGTAAAGCTTATACATATATATATTTAAAAAACAACATTTTCAACTAATTTTAGACTTACAGAAATACAGAAACAGTTTCCTTTTTTTCTTCACCCTACTTTGTCTATGTTACCATCTCACGTGCTCCCTTAATAGCATTGTTTGAAGAGCAGAAGTCCTTAATTTTGGTCAAGTCCAACTTATCATTTCTTTTTCCTTTGTAAAACATGTTTTTGGTTTCCTGTCTAAGAAGGCTTTACCTAACTCAAAGTTGCGAAGGTTTTCTCTGTTTTCTTCTGGAATATTTAGGGTTTTAGGACATATGTTTATAGTACCCATTTTGAGTAAATTCTGTATACAGAGTGAAGTGTGGATTAAACTTTATCTTAGCTTATTTTTTTGCAAATAAATATCCAAGTATTCTAGTAATGTTTTTTTTTTTTTAAAAAAAAACTATCCTGTTTTCACTAAATTTTGTTTGCAATTGTGTTGAAAATCTCTTGACCATGGGAGATTATTTCTGTATTGTATCCTACTGCATTAATCTATATTCTTTCACCAACAATATATTGCTTTGATTACTGAATGCTATAAATCTTAAAATCAGATAACATGACTTCTCCAAATTTGTTCTTTCTAAAGTTGTTTCAACTCTACTCTTTTTGCATTTTCACATAAATCATGGAATCACTAAGTCTATTTCTACAATTCCCTGCTGTGATTTGGATTGGAATTCTGTTGAACCTATAGAATCACTTTGGGGACAATTAACATGTTAACAAATAGTTTCTAAAATAAGAATTTTGGGCTATTGATATGTGACCTTTTTCTTTTCTAATATACAGTTATGTACTACATAATGATGTTTTGGTCAATGATGGACTCTGTATATGATGGTGGTTCCATAAGTGTACAATATTATATTTTTTCCATGTTTATGTATGTTTAGAAACACAAATACTTACCATTGTTTATAATTGCCTATGGCATTCGGTACAGTGGCATACTGTACAGGTTAGCAGCCTAGGAGCAATAGGCTATACCATGCAGCTTAGGTGTGTAGTAGGCTCTACCATCAGGATTTGTGTAAGTCTACTCTATGATGGTCTCACAATGACTAAAACACCTAACAACACCTTTCTCACAACATGACCCTGTTGTTAAATGATGCATGACTGTACATGTATACTGCTATAAATTTACCTCTATTTGCATCCAAAATTTGATATGCTATAATTTTTATTTCATTCAACTCAGAGTATTCACTAATAACTTGTTTAATTTTTTTTAACTTAAACCACATAGTAATTAGAAGTTTGCTGTATGGTTTCAAATAATTGTTTTGTTTTCACTGAGACCTTTGTGTTTTTGAATTTTAATTTGATTTTTCTTTACACGACATAGTTCATAGGATTCCAATCTTTTAAAAGTTATTTAGAATTGTTTGATAACCCCAAATATGTTCCATCTTGGAAAATATTCACATACACTCGAAAAAAAATGGATTTTATTTGGCTGTGGGACAGAATATTTGATAAATATCAGAGTTCTTTTAAAATTAAGCTTATAAAATAAATAGCTATTATTTCTTCAAAATTTCTTCTTCCCTCAATTTTTTTCATTGATTCCAATTATGCATATATTGGCCCAAATGAAGTTGTCCTATAGTCACTCATTAGTACTCTTCTTCTGCCCAAATATTCTGTTTTGTTTTAGATATTTTAACGGCTGTATCTTCAATTTACTAATGTATTCCTCTGCTGTGTTGAATCTGCTGTTCCTTTCATTTAGTTATTGTTCATCTCAGATGTTGTAGTTTTCATTTCCAGAAACTCAATTTGGATTTTATTTTTTGTATCTTTGTTTCTCATGATTATGCTCTTTTCTACTTTCTTAAATATATAAATAAGTTATAAATATATAAATATATAAAAAAGCATATTAATGTCTTGTAAACTTATTTAATGTCTGGACATTTTTATCTAGATGCTCAATTTTGTGATTTTATGTTAATTGGGTCTGTATCCTTTTCCTCTTTAGTTGTAAGTTATATCTATCTTACATTGTCTTTCTAAGTATTCTCCTATTATTATTAGACAATTATTAGTTCTCTTTCAAGTTACCTTTAAACAGCTTCCTATTTTTGAAGCTTGATTTTAAGGCTTGTTAGATTGAACCAGACCAGCATTTAGTGCAGGACCTATTTTCCCCACTTTTGAATCAAAACCCTTGGGTTAATTCTTTCCAATTCCTTATGTATTATTTATTTATTTGTTTGTTCATTTTACTTGGAACGGTGCAAACAGTAGCTCTTCCTGGCCTTATTTTAGCTTTGTAGATTCTTTCACCTGCTCCTTTCATGTGCTTGTCTTCCAAGCTTCGGGTGTTTTCTGCACTTGCATGCACTAAGCAGTGCTGTGTTATACACTTGAGGGAGACCTTTTGCAAACTCTGGAGCTAACCTACCATGCGGTTCTCTTCTCTAGGATACCTTGTCCTAAAATCTCTAACTATTTTTGTTCTATCCAAACTCTGCTCTTCATCTGCTAACATCCAGGCATTCACTGGGCTCTGTCTTTATTTTTCCTTTTCGCTAGGACCCAGAATCTCTCTCCAGGCAGCAAGCATGGGCAACTGCAGTACTCTTACCATTTGCTTTCCCACTCATAGGGATTTTCAGTGTCTCCAAAAATGTTGTTTCATATATTTTTCCATCATTTTTAGTTGTTTAAGGTGAGGGGACACATCTGGTTTTTGTTACTTCATCTTGTAAGAAACAAAAGTGCCTCTGTAAATGTAATTCTCATTGAGAAAAATAAAAACCAAATAATAACAAAAGGGCTTTCCAAAAAACAAGGTGTGATGGATCTCATAGTACTGATACAATAGAATATTTCAGAAGCAGAGCAAACAAGACCATATGGAGAGAATACACAACTATTTGAATTACATGTAAATTAAGTAGTAAAACATATGTCAAAATGTCTATCACGGGGTTTGACTCAGATTAGAAACTTTAATATTAGGAATGGGGGATGGTGATGTTCTGCAATTCTGTTCATTTTCTACCATTAAATTCCTTTTTTTTTTTTTTCCTGAATCAACAGTGGTTCAGGAATTATCAATCAGGCAGTTAGAGAGATGACTTACAAATCATAATACAACTTACAGAGTGTATTGTGACTTACAGAGGCTGCGAAATAAGTTATTTTGAATATTGAATTGCCTGTTTTTCTTAGTCTAGGGGAAGTATTCTTGAAATTGGAATTCTGTTTTTAAGTAGAAAGCAGACATGTTTAGTTCCAATATAGTGTTTATTTCTCTGAAATTAATATCAAAATTCAGACTATTTAGTGTTTAGGCCTTTCCAAAATATATTTTCAAGGTCTAAAAAGAGTTAAGCTTCATTTTGTATGAATATTCTCAGAAGAATACTCCTCAAGTAAATTCCTACCACATCCTCATATTTACACTGCTTTTAAATAATGAAGCAATGCAAATTGTTTTTCATGCATATGGATTAGAACATTCAATTGGTTTTCAATTATGTACCTGACTGCTTTTAAGAAATTCCAAGTTTGTATTATGATAGCACCAGCTCCTTCTTTTTCTTTCTAACCTTAAGCAATTTTAAGAAATCATCTGGCAATATTAATGGCATCTCATGAACTGAGGAAGAAAGAGTTCATGAAGCTTCAAAATAAAAGAAGTATAGCAGTGCTCAAACATTATAGCACAGGTTTCCTGTCTTGTCTACTGGATTCAATTCAATTAATGGCATTATTTGCAGAGGAGCATAAAGAACACTTCAAGGTGTTTACAAACTAGAAGAGCCGGACAACAGGGACCAGAAGACACACCCTGAGGTTCATTATCTACTTACTCATTCCTCTCTTTAATAATTCACAGGATTTGTACTTTGCTGATACTTACTAAACAAAGAGCTGGAGACTGTCAGGAGAGCAGTATGAGGACACGTCAGACAAGAATGCAGCCTCTAATGAGTCTACTGAGCTGTCTACACTGATCATAATCAACCAGTCATGATAAGCATTCCCTTTTGTTAGATGCTTGCTCTGTAACTGGCACTTTTATATGGTTTAACTAGTTGACTCTTCTCAGTAGCACTGTCCAGAAGGTGTTATTCTTCCAATTTTATAGATGAGGTAATAGGAAAAATAGCATTCACTAAATTACTCAGGAAATAGTGGAGTTGCCGTTCAAACCAAGATCTATTTGAGTCTAAAATTTTTTTTCCACTATGAGGCATGATTCCATTTTCCTCAAGATTTCTCTCATAAATTAATATCTTAGGCCAGGCGCCGTGGCTCACGCCTGTAATCCCAGCACTTTGGGAGGCCGAGGCGGGTGGATCATGAGGTCAGGAGATCGAGACCATCCTGGCTAACACGGTGAAACCCCGTCTCTACTAAAAAATACAAAAAATTAGCCGGACGTGATGGCGGGCGCCTGTAATCCCAGCTACTAGGGAGACTGAGGCAGGAGAATGGCGTGAACCCGGGAGGCGGAGCTTGCAATGAGCCGAGATTGTGCCACTGCACTCCAGCCTGGGCGACAGAGCAAGACTCCATCTCAAAAAAAAAAAAAAAAAAAAAAATTAGTATCTTAGAGATAAACTTGGAAAAGAAAGAATAGGACAAAAATAGAAAAGAGTAAAATTGACCATATGTGCTGGCCTCATCCTCTCTCTGTATAGGGCAGACCATGCTGGGCCTCAACCTAAGGACATGAACTGCTCTGCTCACCAGCTTCCCTGCACTGGCTTAGCTGCTCACACTGGCCTCCTTGATTACTCCAGGCACATTCTCATCTTAGGACCCTTGCCTTTATTGTCCTCTTTGCCTTGGAGCTCTTTCCCCAGAGATTCTTATAGCCACCACACTTAACTGCCACATGTCTGTTTAAATGCCACATTCTGAATAAACTCTTTCATGACCACACTATGGAAAATTGTAACCATCTCAGCAGCATTTTTCATCATTCTTCCTGGCTTAATTTTTCCATTGCATGTGTTAGCTTTTAATATATACATTTTGCATATAAATGTCTTCCTTATTTTGTTTATCGTGTCTTACCCAGTTAGAAAATAAATTTCATGAGGCCAGGTATTTTGTTTAGTGGTGTAATCTCAGCTCTTAAAACAGTGGATGGTGCTTAATAGATGTCATTTATCAGGGTTGGTATAACAAATTACCACACACTGGGTGGCTTGACATAGCAGCTTTTTAAAAAAAATTTCATATATAAGTGAGATCATACACAAAGATAGAGCATGAAACAGAAGTTATGGGTGGTAGGGTGAGAAGAAATGGGGAGATGTAGGTAAAAGGATACAAAGTAGCAGATATGTAAGATGAACAAGTCTAGAGATCTAATGTGTAACACGACTAATAAAATTGTATTGTATTAGGAATTTTTGTAAAATAAGTAGATTTTACCTGCTCATGTCACAAAAATGAGATCATATGTTAATCTGCTTCATCATTATAGTACTTATTTGTATCTACATATATATCCCATAGTATCATGTTGTAAACCTTAAATATACACAATATAATTTATTTTAAAATAGAAATAAAAAAAACACACAACAGGTTTTTATTCTCTCCCAGCTCTTTAGGATAACGATTTGAAATGAAAGTGTCAGTTGGCAGCTCCATGCTGTTTCTGAAGGGTTTTGAAAGAAAGCCCTTCCTTGTCTTTCCCTGGCTTCTGCTGATTCCTGGCAATCCTTGGTGTTCTGTGGCTTGCAGCTGAATCCTTTCAGTCTTTGTCTCCATTGTTATACAGTGTTTTCCCTGTGTGTGTGTGTGTGTGTGTGTGTGTGTGTGTGTGTATGTGTGTGTGTGTGTCTTGTGCCATGCCTTCTTCCTATAAGGCACCAATCATTCAATTTAGGACCCAAACTAATCCAGTATGACCTCATCTTAACTAATCACAGCTACGATAATTCTATTTCCAAACAAAGTACATTTTGAGGTTCCAGGTAGACATAAATTCTTGAGGGGAGGAGGCATTTATTCAAACCACAGCACTTGGTATACAATGCATGCTTGTTGAGTGATAGACTATATAAATGTCCTTCACCTGCCCTACCCTGGGTTCCTCGCTCAAACGTATTGTAGCCCAGGAGACTCTTAGTCTATGGCCAACTGATTAAAGAAATGGGCCCAATTCATTCATACTTGACTGTGTCCATGCCTTTGAATCTCAATTTAGCCATTCAGCTGGCATTAGCCAATAAGACATTGCAAACATGATGCAGAGATTGGAGGTATTTGGTGTTAAGGCTTGTTTGCTATCTTAGGAACCCTGAGCCCTTCATGTGAACATGACTTGTGTAGAAAGAGGGATCATATGGAGGTCTCCCATTATTCTAACTGGCCCACTTGAGACCATCAAAAACCTGCCAGCTCTAGACAACCTACCAGCTGACCACAGATGCATGAGAAAGCTTAGTTGAGTGCACCAGAGCCTGATACTGAATAGAGAAACTGCTTAGCTGAACCGTGCCTAAATGACCAAGCTGCAGACTTATGAACTAAATTTTTGGTTGATTTTTTAATGCATTGAGTTTAGGGGTGTTATTATTCAGAAATTATTACCTCATACCTTGACCTTCATTGGCTCTCTATTCTACTTAATTAGGAATAACACACACACACACACACACACAAAACCCACAACCCTATATCTACCTACATATATATACAACCTACTAATTCAGAATTTTAATATTGTTTTAATTTTATTGAAGACTTCCAAGTATAGGCAGATAATTAAAGAAATATTGCCAATCTAAATTTTAATTATTCTTAAATTTAGATACCCTGCACACAAGTTCTAAGACAAGAGATTTACATAGAATTAACGTTTTGAGATACATTTACTTTGAATAATTTTGGAATGCATTCACTTCCGTGCCAAAGAGATTATCATATACAAAGAGAAAATTTACACTGCTGTCATCAGATCACATGTAATTCTGTGTCTTTGTGCATTTGTTCAGTTATGGAAGGAAGAGCTCTATAAGTTCTCTTCCAATAATCTCAAACATAATTACTTTTTATAAAAATCACATATTATACAATGAATAGAAAATATATTTTGATTTCTTTTTCACATACAACTTTCAATTTAGTCTTGAGGTTGTAGAATTTCCCTAAGGGAAAAAATCCTAGCAGATAAAAATTGTGTCTGCAAAAGTCTAATACATTTGGTAAAGTTAGAAAATGCATCATGTTCACAAAGTATTTGTAGCTAGTGCAATTTTGGTGAAATGAATTTTTAGAGGTTCAGTCCTTTCTCTGGGCCTCTTTGGAGACAGTCAAAATGTCTCATTGAAACATGGATTCTGCTTAATTACTGATTAGTGCATTCTTTTTAAATGTAACTGTGTTTCAGCTTTATCAAATTATTAGAGTGAAAAAATGCCAGAAAAAATTTACAAAAAAAATTTCTTGGACAGGAAAATTGACTCATGAAATCAAGAGAGGAGTCTGGACTTTCTGAGAAGATTAGAATTTTTAAAAAATGTTCCCAACTCCAGAAGGCCCACCAGGCACACTATCCTTGGAGAGGTTTTAGGGTGAGAAAAGCATTGTAAAGGGCCAGCTTAACTTGACTGTTTTATGGAGGCTACTTTTGAATAGAGGGCCTTCACAATGAGCCCATAGCTTATAAGAAGCATTTGGGGGGGTAGAGCCAAGAAGACCATATAGGAACAGCTCCAGTCTACAGCTCCCAGTGTGAGCGATGCAGAAGATGGGTGATTTCTGCATTTCCAACTGAGGTACTGGGTTCATCTCACTGGGGATTGTCAGACAGTGGGTGCAGGACAGTGGGTGCAGTGCACCAAGTGTGAGCTGAAGCAGGGTGAGGCATTGCCTCACCCGGGAAGCACAAGGGGTCAGGGAATTCCATTTCCTAGCCAAGGAAAGGGGTGACAGATGGCACCTGGAAAATTGGGTCACTCCCACCCTAATACCGTGCTTTTCCAATGGTCTTAGCAAATGGCACACCAGGAGATTATATCCTGCGCCTGGCTCGGAGGGTCCTACGCCCATGGAGCCTCACTCATTGCTAGCACAGCAGTCTGAGATCAAACTGCAAGGTGGCAGTGAGGATGGGGGAGGGGAGCCTGCCATTGCCGAGGCTTGAGTAGGTAAACAAAGCAGCTGGGAAGCTCGAACTGGGTGGAGCCCACCACAGCTCAAGGAGGCCTGCCTGCCTCTGTAGACTCCACCTCGGGGGGCAGGGCATAGCCAAACAAAAGGCAGCAGAAACCTCTGCAGACTTAAATGTCCCTGTCTGACAGCTTTGAAGAGAGTAGTGGTTCTCCCAGCACATAGCGTGAGATCTGAGAACAGACAGCCTGCCTTCTCAAGTGGGTCCCTGACCCCGAGTAGCCTAACTGGGAGGCACCCCCCAGTAGGGGCAGACTGACACCTCACACGGCCGGGTACTCCTCTGAGATAAAACTTCCAGAAGAACGATCAGGCAGCAACATTTGCTGTTCACCAATATCCGCTGTTCTGCAGCCTCCACTACCGATACCCAGGCAAACAGGGTCTGGAGTGGACCTCCAGCAAACTCCAGCAGATCTGCAGCTGAGGGTCCTGACTGTTAGAAGGAAAACTAACAAACAGGAAGGACATCCACACCAAAACCCCATCTGTACATCACCATCATCAAAGACCAAAGGTAGATAAAACCACAAAGATGGGGAAAAACAGAGCAGAAAAACCGGAAACTCTACAAATCAGAGCGCCTCTCCTCCTCCAGAGGAACGCAGCTCCTCACCAGCAATGGAACAAAGCTGGACGGAGAATGACTTTGATGAGTTGAGAGAAGAAGACTTCAGACGATCAAACTACTCCGAGCTAAAGGAGGAAGTTTGAACCCATTGCAAAGAAGTTAAAAACCTTGAAAAAAGATTAGACGAATGGCTAACTCGAATAACCAATGCAGAGAAGTCCTTAAAGGACCTGATGGAGCTTAAAACCATGGCACGAGAACTACATGATGAATGCACAAGCCTCAGTAGCTGATTCGATCAACTAGAAGAAAGGGTATCAGTGATGGAAGATCAAATTAATGAAATGAAGTGAGAAGAGAAGTTTAGAGAAAAAAGAATAAAAAGAAATGAACAAATCCTCCAAGAAATATGGGACTATGTGAAAAGACCAAATCTGCGTCTGATTGGTGTACCTGAAAGTGACGGGGAGAATGGAACCAAGCTGGAAAACACTCTGCAGGATATTATCCAGGAGAACGTCCCCAATCTAGCAAGGCAGGCCAACATTCAAATTCAGGAAATACAGAGAACACCACAAAGATACTCCTCAAGAAGAGCAGCTCCAAGACACATAATTGTCAGATTCACCAAAGTTGAAATGAAGGAAAAAATGTTAAGGGCAGCCAGAGAGAAAGGTCAGGCTACCCACAAAGGGAAGCCCATCAGACTAACAGCTGATCTCTCGGCAGAAACTCTGCAAGCCAGAAGAGAGTGGGGGCCAATATTCAACATTCTTAAAGAAAAGAATTTTCAACCCAGAATTTCATATCCAGCCAAACTAAGCTTCATAAGTGAAGGAGAAATAAAATACTTTACAGACAAGCAAATGCTGAGAGATTTTGTCACCACCAGACCTGCCCTAAAAGAGCTCCTGAAGGAAGCACTAAACATGGAAAGGAACAACCAGTACCAGCCACGGCAAAAACATGCCAAATTGTAAAGAACATCGAGGCTAGGAAGAAACTGCATCAACTAATGAGCAAAATAACCAGCTAACATCATAATGACAGGGTCAAATTCACACATAACAATATTAACCTTAAATGTAAATAGGCTAAATGCTCCAATTAAAAGGCACAGACTGGCAAATTGGATAAAGAGTCAAGACCCATCAGTGTGCTGTATTCAGGAAACCCATCTCACATGCAGAGACACACATAGGCTCAAAATAAAGGGATGGAGGAAGATCTACCAAGCAAAAGGAAAACAAAAAAAGGCAGGGGTTGCAATCCTAGTCTCTGATAAAACAGACTTTAAACCAACAAAGATCAAAAGAGACAAAGAAGGCCATTACATAATGGTAAAGGGATCAATTCAACAAGAAGAGCTAACTATCCTAAATATATATGCACCCAATACAGGAGCACCCAGATTCATAAAGCAAGTCCTTAGAGACCTACAAAGTGACTTAGACTCCCATACAATAATAATGGGAGATTTTAACACCCCACTGTCAACATTATACAGATCAACGAGACAGGAGGTTAACAAGGATATCCAGGAATTGAACTCAGCTCTTCACCAAGCGACCTAATAGGCTTCTACAGAACTCTCCACCACAAATCAACAGAATATATATTCTTTTCAGCACCACACCACACCTATTCCAAAATTGACCACATAGTTGGAAGTAAAGCACTCCTCAGCAAATGTAAAAGAACAGAAATTATAACAAACTGTCTCTCAGACCACAGTGCAATCAAACTAGAACTCAGGATTAAGAAACTCACTCAAAACCACTCAACTACATGGAAGCTGAACAACCTGCTCCTGAATGACTACTAGGTACATAACAAAATGAAGGCAGAAATAAAGATGTTCTTTGGAACCAATGAGAACAAAGACACAACATACCAGAATCTCTGGGACACATTCAAAGCAGTGTGTAGAGGGAAATTTATAGCAATAAATGCCCACAAGAGAAAGCAGGAAAGATCCAAAACTGACACCCTAACATCACAATTAAAAGAACTAGAGAAGCAAGAGCAAACACATTCAACAGCTAGCAGAAGGCAAGAAATAACTAAGATCAGAGCAGAACTAAAGGAAATAGAGACACAAATAACCCTTCAAAAAATCAATGAATCCAGGAGCTGCTTTTTGAAAAGATCAACAAAATTGATAGACCACTAGCAAGACTAATAAGGAAGAAAAGAGAGAAGAATCAAATAGATACAATAAAAAATGATAAAGGGGATATCACCACCGATCCCACAGACATACAAACTACCATCAGAGAATACTATAAACACCTCTGTGCAAATAAACTAGAAAATCTAGAAGAAATTGATAAATTCCTCAACACATACACCCTCCCAAGACTAAACCCGGAAGAAGTTGAATCTCTGAATAGACCAATAACAGGCTCCGAAATTGAGGCAATAATTAATAGCTTACCAACAAAAAAAAGTCCAGGACCAGATGGATTCACAGCTGAATTCTACCAGAGGTACAAAGAGGAGCTGGTACCATTCCTTCTGAAACTATTCCAATCAAAAGAAAAAGAGGGAATCCTCCGTAACTCATTTTATAAGGCCAGCATCATCCTGATACCAAAGCCTGGCAGAGACACAACAAAAAAAGAGAATTTTAGACTAATATCCCTGATGGACATTGATGCAAAAATCCTCAATAAAATACTGGCAAACAGAATCCAGCAGCACATCAAAAAGCTTATCCACCATGATCAAGTGGGCTTCAACCCTAGGATGCAAGGCTGGTTCAACATACAAAAATCAATAAATGTAATCCAGCATATAAACAGAACCAATGACAAAAACCACATGATTATCTCCATAGATGCAGAAAAGGCCTTTGACAAAATTCAACAGCACTTCAGGCTAAAAACTCTCAATAAATTAGGTATTGATGGGACGTATCTCAAAATAATAAGAGCTATCTATGACAAACCCACAGCCAATATCATACTGAATGGGCAAAACTGGAAGCATTCCCTCTGAAAACTGGCACAAGACAGGGATGCCCTCTCTCACCACTCCTATTCAACCTTGTGTTGGAAGTTCTGGCCAGGGCAATCAGGCAGGAGAAGGAAATAAAGGGTATTCAATTAGGAAAAGAGGAAGTCAAATTGTCCCTGTTTGCAGATGACATGATTGTATATCTAGAAAACCTCATCATCTCAGCCCAAAGTCTCTTAAGCTGATAAGCAACTTCAGCAAAGTCTCAGGATACAAAATCAATGTGCAAAAATCACAAGCATTCTTATACACCAATAACAGACAAACACAGAGCCAAATCATGAGTGAACTCCCATTCACAATTGCTTCAAAGAGAATAAAATACCTAGGAATCCAACTTACAAGGGACATGAAGGACCTCTTCAAGGAGAACTAGAAACTACTGTTCAGTGAAATAAAAGAGGATACAGACAAATGGAAGAACATTCCATGCTCATGGGTAGGAAGAATCAATATTGTGAAAATGGCCATACTGCCCAAGGTAATTTATAGATTCAATGCCATCCCCATCAAGGTACCCATGACTTTCTTCACAGAATTGGAAAAAACTACTTTAAAGTTCATATGGAACCAAAAAAGAGCCCACATCGCCAAGTCAATCCTAAGCCAAAAGAACAAAGCTGGAGGCATCACACTACCTGACTTCAAACTATACTACAAGGCTACAGTAACCACCACAGCATGGTACTGATACCAAAACAGACATATAGACCAATGGAACAGAACAGAGCCCTCAGAAATAATGCCACATATCTACAACCATCTGATCTTTGAGAAACCTGACAAAAACCAGAAATGGGGAAAGGATTCCCTATTTAATAAATGGTGCTGGGAAAACTGGGTAGCCATAAGTAGAAAGCTGAAACTGGATCCCTTCCTTACACCTTATACAAAAATTCATTCAAAATGGATTAAAGACTTAAATGGTAGACCTAAAACCATAAAAAGCCTAGAAGAAAACCTAGCCAATACAATTCAGGACATAGGCATGGGCAAGGACTTCATGTGTAAAACACCAAAAGCAATGGCAACAAAAGCCAAAATTGACAAAAGGGATCTAATGAAACTAAAGAGCTTCTGCACAGCAAAAGAAACTACCATCAGAGTGAACAGGCAACCCACAAAATGGGAGAAAATTTTTGCAATCTACTCATCTGACAAAGGCCTAATATCCAGAATCTACAATTAACTGAAAAAGATTTACAAGAAATAAACAAACAACCCCATCAACAAGTGGGCAAATGGTATGAACAGACACTTCTCAAAAGAAGACATTTATGCAGCCAAAAGACACATGAAAAAATGCTCATCATCACTGGCCATCAGAGAAATGCAAATCAAAACCACAATGAGATACCATCTCACACCGGTTAGAATGGCAATCATTAAAAAGTCAGGAAACAACAGGTGCTGGAGAGGATGTGGAGAAATAGGAACACTTTTACACTGTTGGTGGGACTGTAAACTAGTTCAACCATTGTGGAAGTCAGTGTGGTGATTCCTCAGGGATCTAGAACTAGAAATACCATTTGACCCAGCCATCCCATTACTGGGTATATACCCAAAGGATTATAAATCATGCTGCTATAAAGACACATGCAAACGTATGTTTATTGCGGCACTATTCAAAATAGCAAAGACTTGGAACCAACCCAAATGTCCAACAATGATAGACTGGATTAAGAAAATGTGGCACATATACACCATGGAATACTATGCAGCCATAAAAAAGGATGAGTTCATGTCCTTTGTAGGGACATGGATGAAGCTGGAAACCATCATTCTCAGCAAACTATTGCAAGGACAAAAAAACCAAACACTGCATGTTCTCACTCATAGGTGGGAATTGAACAATGAGAACACATGGACACAGGAAGGGGAACATCACACACTGGGGCCTGTTGTGGGATGGGGGGGAGGGGAGAGGGATAGCATTAGGAGATATACCTAATGTTAAATGATGAGTTAATGGGTGCAGCACACCAACATGGCACATGTAGACATATGTAACAAACCTGCATGTTGTGCACATGTACCCTAAAACTTCAAGTATTAAAAAAAAAAAGAAGCATTTGAAGCAGACCTTGAATACATTTTATTGTAATTAACAGGTTGTCAGCTTTCACACATGTAGAAGTTTTTCTAAGGGAGATTTTTACATAGTTTTATCAGAAAATGATAATTTATGCCTAACATCCACCCAAAGTTATTTTTCTATCAATCTTGTTCACCTTTTTATGTGGAAGCAGCAGGAAAGAACATGTTGGGATTCTTTTTTATGCCGTGTTTTGATCAGCTTAGCTCTGTCTGAATGTTTGTTGTAAGGGCTTGTGGCTGCTTCTAGCAGGCACCATTGTTACGCAGGAATATAGACACTTTCCGATTTAAAGAACGCTGTCTCTTTACGAAGATAATTTTTTCCCTAAAGTTTTGGCTGAGAGAGGAGTTGAGGCCAAACCTGAGAAAATGCTTACATTGTACTGTTTTCCTGAATTCAGAACTATCTTTAGGTGGTGTGGGGGCCTCTTCACAGCCCCGTGCTGCTCCATGCTTTTGTGCTCCATCACAGTTGGGTTCTTATCAGGAGATGAGGAAATGGAGGCTGTGAACAGAAAGTTCATTGGTCTAACATGATTCGACTTTGGGCAAGTATTCAACCAGTGCTTACAAAGGCAGGATTGGGCATGCAGTGAGCATCCTAAACCTTTGAGAAATTCAGCCCCTTACTCCTGTATATAATCTTTATATAAAAATATTTATTAAAGCCAGTGTGCAAAAGTTGAAATAAGGATGTCTGCTTTGGAAAGAGATTTATTTCTCTGGAGCAATAATGATAACAAAATATTGTAAAACAGTATTTTATCATAATTACAATCATCCAGTGAACACTTGCTATGAGCCAGCTCTCTGAGGTTCTGCTCACATCACATGTTATTTTTTCACTTCTGCTTTACAACAGCCCTTTTGGGTAGATACAAATGTGCCCTTTTTACTGTTGAGAAATCCGAGGCTCAGAGAGGAAGAGTTCTGAGCAGAGTTAGGGAGTTGCACAGCCTAACTTTAAACATGCCAATGTGTCTCTTAACCTCATTCTATAACCACTATGCTATTGCATATTACATTTTAAATGTGCATTTCAGTGTCCTTTTTATGTTTAATGGCTATATTTAAATTTTGTGATTTTTTTTCTCTTAATGATTTAATGCAATAATAGACAGAAGCCAGAAAATGGTGACAGGAAAACTGGGCTTCAGAGATGTTAGTAAATTGCTGAAGGCAATGCAGGTAACTGGAAAGATAGAATTGGACCTGAGCTCTCTCTGACCACAAACCTCGTCTAATATATTATGATGTTTTTGAGGCAGCCTGGACCAGAACTAAATTATGCCACTACTATTTTAGGAATACCAGTCCTTATATGAAGATATCTAAGTGATACTGCCTGGTTTTGTTCTGCTTTTCCCTTAAGATAATTCAATAAGGGAAGCTTCATGTGGTGTGTGGAATAAAGGGGAATAGGCAAAGTGTTGGATGCAATAAAGTTTTGACATTTTTGAAGAGTAACTTATTACTTGGGACCTTAACTAAGTTTATTTCAGTTCTCAGATCCCAGGTCCATGTCCATCAACCTTCACCCCACAATCCCTTTAGAACAAGAGCAATGAGTAAGACTTCAGCAGCCAGATGATCTTTAAGGAAGCCTAACATTCCATGATAATACATTTCATTTGAGGAAGTTGAACTTATTATATGTAACATGAATCAAAGAAAACTTTTATTTTTGACCATTATGTTACTGATAAAATAGGAAAAAGGGCAAAAAATTTCTCATATTAAAAAACCATAACTTTACAATAAAAGAAATCTATTGCATTCATATGTAGTAAATAGTTATAAGTCTATTTGTTGTTTTGCTTATTTCTTGTTTATGTTTCTTTCCTACTAATTCAAAAACACCTAAAGAATCATGCATTAATACAGTATTTGTACGTTAGGGAAAAAGTCCAGAACAGCAACTAAAAAGATGAAAAATAACAGATCACATTTTATTGAAAAAAGCATAATGCCTGATTTCATAGTCTAAAAACATGATAGAATTTGATGAATGTCAACATACACCATCAGAAATGATTTTGTCTTGCATTGCAGAATGACTTCTTTTACGCTTTGTATCATCTTGGGAATCACAACAGCAAATATGTATTTAGAAGCAAACATCACCATCATTTACTACCTCTGTACCCTCATACATTCCAGGTGTCATGTAGCACCACAAAGACACACGTTCTGACTTCGAATTTCTAAAGGTTACCCATTAAATTTAATGGGAAGGTGTTGTACAATGAGCATATTTTGTTGAGGTCTACAAAATATCACTACACATGTGTTGTAACAGTGACATTTTAATCACTTATTTAGTTGTCCACCATGAATATATTCAGCTCATAAAAAAGAATATAGATTTGTCTCTAAAAATTTCCCAGGAGCAAAAACACTATTCAAAGTACCTAATTTTGAGCCTTTGTTTTTAATTTACACCCAGGGATGGTGTGATAAAACTGCTTTCATTTAACACATTTCTAGTCTGTTTTTGAAACTATCTAGATATATTGTGGTCTATTGAGCATCTGTCTTAATCAGATTAAAAATGTTCTCTAGGTCAAAAATTTTCTTCAAAAATGTCATCCATTCAACAAAAAAATACACTGGACTCCTACTACATTCCAGTCAGAGTAGTGATTAGACAGTTGGGATGCCTGCTTTAAGGGTGCGTGAATTCCAAGAACGAGGATAGACACCCAGCAACAAACTTTATGAAAGGGAAGCCCAGTTTACCTGAAATATGTGAATATGGGACCTAACTTTATGTAGTAATATATTCATTCCTACAGTGTCCTGTGTCTACTTAGCCACAGCACAAACATCCTTGCATTTTAATTGTGTGTTTATACTTTTGATATGAGGGACAAAAAATTAGATGTTTTATTCATCTAGTTTCCAGCAGTGTCTAACACATGGTAGGTGGTCAATATATTTTCTTGAACAGAAGTTAATAACGGACATGGATACTTGCAGAGTATACAGTGGACTTCACTATCAATCATCTCATAAGCAGGTGGGCAAGGCTAGGTAAACAATTTAGCCTAGATTCTCTTCTACTTTATTCAGGGTATATTTTAATCTCAATCGCAGTGTTTTCTTTAATTGTGCAGAGAAATCCATGGCCTAACATTAGAGCATGTCACAATATCTAAAGATTTAGAAATTCTTACGCTAGATAAATAAAACTAAAGAAATTGGTTGTGGGGGGTCTGCTTCAAATGAACAATAACTTAGACCTTGCCATATTTGAACAATTAGAAATAAAGAAAATTGTTTACACAGTTGGTCTAGAATTCTTTGTATTTTTTTTTTTTTGTAGCAAATCCTAAGTAGAAGAGTCATCAAATTTACCTAGTTCTGGATATATAAACTTACTTAAGGAAATCAGGACTCTTTCTACCATATGCTGATGAGAAATGCTACTTAGAGAGGAGTAGAGGCACCACAAGACGCTATGCTATGGCGCACCTGCTCCTGTCAAGTACCACATGGGAAGTCTTAGCTCAGGGTTTATGAGAAGCAGACCCTGAGTCAAGCGGTATTGAGGCAAGCATTTGTATGGAAGGAATTCATTTGGTCAGTGATCCTAGGAAGCAGTGTGAGGGAATGGGGAAGGGAGATCAGGGAGGGAGGGATATCAACAAGGAGTGCAGTAAGTGGCAGGAGATCTCTGTGGACATCTAGAGCTCAATCCCCTTGGGGTCTCCCTAAGAGATTGTGTGGAGCTGTCTCACAGAGAGAAAGGGGACTGGGGCTTTTGCACCCATGCTTATCCCTTCTTGGTTGAGGTTGATCCTGGGGTGTTACCTGCAGCCTGTCCCCGTGTGTGCCTGGCACTCTCCCAGGGGCAGAGAGGACCCTCAGGTAGAAAGATGCTGGATGCAAGCCAGGCGCGGTGGCTCACCCCTGTAATCCTGGCACTTTGGGAGGCCGGAACGGGTGGATCACATGAGGTCAGGAGTTCGAGACCAGCCTGACCAACATGGAGAAACCCCGTCTCTACTAAAATACAAAAAATTAGCCAGGCATGGTGGCACATGCCTGTAATCCCAGCTACTCGGGAGGCTGAGGCAGGAGAATCACTTGAACCTAGGAGGCAGAGGTTGTGGTGAGCCGAAATTGCACCACTGCACTCCAGTCTGGGCAAGAAGAGTGAAATTCCATCAAAAAAAGAAGGAAGGGAAAGGAAGGGAAGAGGGGAGGGAGGAAGGAAGGAAGGAAGGAAAAAGGAAGAAAGGAAGAGAGAGAGAAGGAAGGAAGAAAGAAAAGAAGGAAAGAAAGAGAGAGAAAGAAGGAAAGAAAGAAAAAAGAAAGAAAGAAAAAAAAGAAAGAGAAAAGATGGAAAGGATAGATGCTGGATGCCGTTGGCAGGGCTGGAAATTGTTCAAGGTCACCTCCTGAGTAGGTTGAAAAGACATGGACAGGGACCAATAGCATCAGCTTCATGTATCTTATGTCAACTCTTTTAATGAGCTGGTGAGGTTGGCTACATTGCTCCATTGTTATAACTGAGAAAAAGCCAGAGAGGTTAGTAACTTACCCTGCTTTATCAGTATAATAAATGATAGAGCAAAAACTCAAACCCACCTATACAGAAATCCAGGACTTTTTGCCTTCCCATTATACTATGCCTAATATATAGGAATTAAACAAAGGAAATGTTATAATCTTTTATCAAAGCAAACTGCATCAAAAAAAGCCGAACTCAAAACCTGAAACATTAGATACCTCAAACATGTTATACTCTGCTATCATAGCACAATGACAGCACCTAAATCCAATGGCTGCTGTCTCTATAAGACAATTATTTATAATTTACTGCTTAATATTTTTGAGAAGAAGAATTTGATTTAGATATTAACAGATCTTTTTGAAAGAAAAACAAATGAGGGAACATTAATTTCAAGAATCTGGGTTTGTACAAAAAAAGCTTAAAAATGCCTATGTTTGTTCATCATACGCACTGAAATGATTTTTATTATTTATTATTCATTTTTAAAGAAATTCGGCACTCTCTAAATGGCTTACTATATGATCCTTCCCAAAGTATTTGAAATTTTATGGTATAAGTTAAGGGACCTTTACTTTCTTTCTGAATCCCTGTTATACCTCCTTGTTACTATGGCAATCCATCCCAACAACTGTCTTTCTTAAGCTATGTAATTTTTCCTCATTAAATTATTGCACACCCTGCAAAAAATCAACACGGAAACATTAACAATGACCAAGACACAGCCATTGATCAATATTGATGCCCAGAACCCAGGCAGACATGATGGAGTGAGAGGTTGTACCTTAATAAATGGCCACTTTGCCTTTTCTGAGCAGTTGTCATAAAAACACACCTTAGAGGGGTAATTTCTCTTTCCACCAGAACTTTTTATTGCTTGTAATTTAGAGCCACAGTAATTGAGATGTTGAGTGGGGAATTGGTGACAGAAAGGTGAGAGCTTGGGGAAAGGAAGTTTTGACCCACATGTTAATAACGCATGATCACAGCTTGAGAAAATGGTAGATCCTGTTTTTAATAGCAGAAAAAAAGAGGCTTGTCTTTGTTGGAGAGTAAAATAGCAGCCCTGGAAACTGGAGGGGAAGGAATGGATTAAAATGAAGACACTGGGACTGTATTTGTTAAGAAAGTTGTATTGGAACTTGGTAACAATAAAATCTATGCACTTGTTTTAACCTGATACAGGGTCTTTGAATTTTATTTGACATTTCTTCTCTTTTCTCCAGCTGCTAAAAAGCCAGACCTGTATTTGTCTTCCAAAGTTAACAAATGCGTAAGACATTATGGTATGCATTTCATGATTAATCTCTCCCTTGGATGAAAATTAATTTCCTACTTTTCTTCCTTCATCCTTTAAATTTTGTTTGGTATTGTGCATACTTCTGGTCTCAAAGCCTTCACAGACCACACAGGATATAAATCAATCTGTCAATTACATTTTAATGAACATGACAGGCTAATAAAGTGAACTAGACCATCAACCATATCATAAATATATTGCATTATTTTTGACTCTTTTTATTTACAAGAAGAGGAGGTCAGAAACGCATTTTTCCTTTTAATGTTCACCTTTGTTTAGTTACCCTTTTCTTATATTTACGTATAAAAAAGTGAGGTTTCATTCAGCTTAGAAAATATCTGGCTTTAGGCAAACAACTAGTGTTCCCCATCCCATAAACTGTCAAGAAAGGGTGTGAGAAAATATATTTTACTTCATGATTACTGATTTGAAATTGTGAAGACATAGTTCCAGGTTTCACCCCAGATGAAGCTCTCAGCAAATGTAATTCTGACCCATTTCAGACAGTCATAAGAGGATGTGTGTCATGTACCTGTTCTGTAGACATGGTGAGCGCTGGCTGCTTGCAGGGCCCATGCAACACTGAGCTCCGACCCCTCTCAAAGCTGGGCCACAGTTTTGATGGTGTTTCTCTCAGCACTTCAGAGTCCTCCTGACTCCGCGGGATTTTACTCTATGTTTTATTCATCCATATGGTCACAAGACTTGAGGACAGTAGAGCCTCAAGAAACAGCTGATAAAGGAGTGTGGGGTTTGCCCCCCCAAAAACAGCTCCTCTTTTATTCCTGTGACTGATTCCACATTCTTTCATTTTCCCAGGCCAGACATCTTTTGCTTTCATTGACCCTCTATCTCATTTGGAAGAGGAAAAATCATGAAGACCTCTGGATTCTTCCTTAGAAATATATTCCACAGCAAATCTCTCCAGACTTTATTTCATTTAACATTATCTTTATCTGTGGCCTCATCATACTGGGTGCCATATACTGACATAACTTTGGGACTGTCTTAGCTATCTCCAACTGTCCCTTTCTTTATGCTATTTGAATATACCTAAAATACGTTTTTTTGTTATGTCTTTTCCCTTATGAATAATTTCTGCCATTTAACATTTAGTATGTCCTTTTCGGGCATTCAGCTGTCTCTACAATCTGGCTTCACCTCTCACCCACATTCTTTTCACCAGACTCCCTATCCATTGTTGGCCTTCAGAAAATCTGTTATTATAGTGCAGATTCTGATTTTACACCTCTTGTTTCTCCTTTGCAGAGGCATGTAAGAATCAGTCTTTAATGTCAACATCTGCACCACCAAGAGCCTAAAGTTCTTCATTGCTCACATCCATTTAGGTTTTTCATCATGACACCTGAGACTCTAAAATAAATAGTGAAGGAAAGATGGAAGGATACTGGCAAGACATTTTATTTTACACATGCAATAAAATAAGGATGTGCCAGATTAAAACATAAAGATTAGGATGGACACACCAAGCTCAAAACTGACATTTTCACCCTATTACACCATGACTTAAATAAATATTAGAATTTTCCTGGGTTCTATCTCATACTGCATTTCTTCTCTCGCTGGACCACACCACACATTTCTTAGTTTCACATATCACTAATATGCCAGTGACACCCAGGGCTGTGCCTCTTGTGTCTATCTCTCTGCCGTTTGTTGTCCTAACTCTACCTAGATGCCTTCAAACAAGCTCAAATGTTTTAATTCATTGTAATTTTCACCAAACGGGTTTATCCTCCAGAAATTTCTGTTGAATGTTCACCTTGAAGTCTACCTTCTGTAGAAGACTTACAAAAAAGAGGAAGAATCAGTGGAGAGTAGAGACTCCGAGCAGAAGTATGAGAACAGGAATACCCCAGGCAAGGGGGAGGGCCCATTGTGGTGCTTGGGAAGGACGAGATGGTAGCTTTAAGTGGTAAATAAGCATGCTACAAGGCACAAGAGTAATGCACAATAGAATTGAAGTCCAATGGATAAGTTTGAAAATATTCTAAAACAAGGTGGAAACAAATATTCATATTTAGACTACCTCCCCCTCAAAAGAGTGGAGGAAAGGCAAGAATAGAGGCGAGGGATAGGAAAAGAAGGACAGAAGCAAAATGTATTGTTGAAAATTTAAAAGGTGATGTATACCAATGATCAACAAATAATGGCCTAGAATCACCTATTGAAATAAAATGAGCAAAACAACTGTCCTCCAGAAATTCCCAGTTATAATTTATGTGAAAGTAACAGACCTACCACTGAAGGACGGTTGAAAGTAAGGGGTTAAACTTAGAAAATACTAACCACAAGAAAGTTATGAAATATAACAATTTTAGACAAAACAAACTTTAATAATAAAAGCATTTTTAGACATTTGAAGGATAAAATGTGTGATAAAAGGTTCAATTTAGCAGGAAAATGTAACAGTTATCATCTTAAATGCATGGAATAAATTAATATCAAATAAGATAAAGGAAAATAATTGTATCATTACAAGGAAAAATATAAACTACACTATCAAATATGGGGGTTGTAATACAACTCTCTTGGCAGTCAAGCATTTAAGCAACATACATACAACTAAATAAGCCATCTGTATAGCATAAACTACATGCTTTTTATTTTTTTTACACCTACAAGAGAACTCACGTTCTCAAGAACATACACAATTTTCAGTTCGCCATGGTCTTTGCATTACATTTTTTCAGAAATAGAATTTGAGATAAATATGTTAGTACCAGTACTTTACTTATGAGGGGAAGGAAACACTGATAAAGAAATGGAAAGTGAGATAGGAAAAGGAAAACTAAAGCACTGAGTTTTAAAGCAGTTATCAGCAAGAGTAAATGGAGCTTGTTCTTGCTGAGAAATGGACAGCATAAAACATGCATCTGAGTTCTTCCACACAGGGACGATGGAGCTGGAAAATTGATAGACTAACTCCCATCAGTCATTGGTTGAGTGCTGTTCCTTGGGGGCTGCAAATTCTGGAACACCTCTTGTTCCAGCTCAGCCATTGCACAGGTCATTGCAGAGGCCATGGCCATCGAAAGAAGTTTACAGGCAAGCAGGTGCTGGCAGTTGGAAATCAAGAAAACTGAAGTGGAGAGGAAGACGCAATAAGGCTAAACTATCAGCAACGTTTGCTACAACCCCATTCTAGTCAATATAACAAATATAGGCACATTTAAGGAATCTGTTCCATATTGTTTAAAGTCTCGGGTACAGAGCAACTAAAAAGTATAATAGTAAAGATATTTTAAATCCACATACATTTGAATTTTTTAAAAAAAGTTCTAAATAAATACACATCAAAAATAAACTCCCAATAAAAATTTAAAGAAATACCCAGAATTGAGAGATAATAAAATTATGTATAGAAACTTAGGAGATGCAGTTATAGAAAGATTTAAAAGAACATTTACAAAAAATAGCTGAAAGTTAATAAGCTAAGCAACTACATTATAAAGTAGAAGGAGTACAGCAAAATAACCAAAAAAAATCGAAGGAAGAAAATAATAACCAAGATGACAGTAGAAATTAACAAAAGAGAAAATACCACAAAAAGGGTCAAGAGAGCCAAATGTTGATAGAAAAACAAAAACTAGTGGAACAGATAAATACCTGGGAAGATTGAAGAAAAATAAAATAAAATAAATTATAAATAACTATATTAGAACATTAATTATACATATAATATATAGAGAGCCTATATAATTATATATATAATGATGTGTATATATAATGTTTATGTCTCTAACATAGTTCCATATATGTGGAAATTATTCAATACATTTTAAAATTTATATTAAATATTTGAATTTCTTTTAGTTTAACATTTGAAGTGCCCCTCAAGTTATAAACTAGTTTTTGGCCACAGGTTTGTACACATAACAAAATAAAACATTGCCTTTGAGATTAAACATTCCTCTGGAGACACTGATGGCATTTTACATGACGCTACAAAATCAAATGGAACACTGACATTGGTATTACACTTTTAGCTGGATTACAGACGTTGGTCAGTTCTATCTTTACATGCAAACTTGTATGTATTATGCTGTGTCCAGTTCTATAGAAAGAAATCATTTTTAGAAAATTTAAAATTAAGTAAAATTATGCTCTATATATAAATTTTAAAGATGCTTATGCATATCATAAGTATGTATCATAGAATACGTATTTAAAAACAGATGACAACATAGGTGAGGAGATATGCAGTGATAACGAAAGGTCATTTTAATGTTTCAGTTTTTAGATGGGTGGTGAGTTCACGCATTTCATTTTCAATTTATCTTTCTAATTTACGTACATGAAATATAAATATATCAATTGTTGTGGAATAAAATATTTCATTGCTTGTAGAAATTTGGAGGCTGTTGTTGATCTCCCTAGGACTGTTGCAGAAGGCATTTCCAAATGCTGACACAGAGATGATAGAGTAAGCATTGCTCTATTGAGTGGATGGGAGGGGAAGAGAGAAAATGTAGGCCTGAGTGGGCATAGCAAGCAAAGTGGCTTTTGTACGAGTTTATGCTTCAGCCTGGGAGCTGTGCACAGTGGATGACACTTGAATGACTAAAGATGGAAGAGACATTCAATGCAGCCACAGGGAAGGGAGGGAGTCCATGGGCGTCTGATTGATCACTATCAAAGAAGATTAAGGAAGTTTGACCTCCAAATCTTGGTTGGACATTTTTGTGCTTGGGGGAGAGTTAAGAGAAAAGATCTGAAACATTTTCTCTTAGATGCATTTATGTTTTTACTGGTGCCCTCCAAAGGTCAAGGGTTGAGAGAACAAGAGAGGCTAGGCCGGATGTGGAGAGCAGACACGAGTGCAAAATAGCTACAGGGAAGAAGGAGAATAAAAGTCATCTGAGAGCGAATAAAGATTGACTGAAAGCCCAGCTGGGATCAGATTACACAAGTGTGCCGGGGAGGTTTATTATATTCTTTGAGGGGAGCCTGACAAGAATTGGGTATTAATTAGTCACTGATCTGTATTAAATGATATATATATTTTTCCAGGCTGTGGTGATTTGGAGTGCATGTAGATTGGTAGGAACAAGCATCCTACCAGGTCAGTTGACGGAGGACTTTACCTTCCATGGGCATCATATGATATGGATTATGAGGACACACTCAACACACCCTCAATTTCAGGGATATTGAAATGCAAATATTTTGATTGAGATAAGAAGATTCTTGGAGGAGCCCACTTATATACTACCCTGACTGCTCTCCATGCTGTGAAGAGGGTTTTTTAAAAAGAACATCATGATCTGGAGAAAGGCAAGGATTAGGTTTGCTGAGCTCTACATTGAGAAGATGAAGGAGAGTGAGAGATTGGGTGCTCCCAGACAATAGTTAGTAAAGGAATTAAAAACAGAAGCCAAGAAACTACGAAGAAAGAAACTTTGAAATATTCCTTTGATTGAATGCCCATTAAAAAATATGCTCTATGCAAATTTACATCTATATCTGTTTCTAAATCTATGTATGTATGTGTGTATGTATGTATGTATGTATGTATGTATGTATGTATCTATCTATCTATCTATCTATCTATCTATCTATATCTATCTTATATGTTTTAAATGAATGCTGGCGAGCAAGTTTGATGTAGAGGCTATCCCTGATTTTAAAAGGTGCTTACAGCCCACAGTGGGTGGGGGTGGGGGTGGTGACAGATAGGTAAAGGAACAATTTAATGCTATCAAAAAGGAGGGACGTATTGCTGGGTATGGGTTGTGGATAAATGTGGCAAACCTCAAGTTCATAAAACATAATAAAATCAACAATAATCACAACGGGTACTATTTCTGAGCACCTAACTTAAATTAGGTGCTTTACAGTATCATTTCAACCACAATGTTCTTATCTCATTTTGTTGAAAGCTGCAAACTCTTTAAGGGCAGGAACTAGGTATGTTCTGTTTATCAGTCTACACTGGAGACCTACTGTAGTGCCCAGCTCACTGTAAAAATAAATAAATAAATAGATAGATAATAATAATAAATAAGGGAACTGAATCTGTCCACCACATCATGCTGCACTGCTGGTGGGGAGAACTATGTTAAATCCTAGTCAGCCCTCACCAGCCATCCCAGCCTGGAGCAACTGAGTCTAGTAGGCTGTATTAAGTCCTGTCCCACAGGTTCTGTCCATGGCTTCTCCTCTTTGGCTGGATACTTGAGAGTACCTAATATTCAGCACCTGTCCAAGCAGGCAGACATTCAGAAGCCAGCTTTCCCATCAGCAGTAGCATTTGTGCTCCAACCTGGGAGCCGTGCACGGTGGATGGCATTTGAATGACCAAGGATGGAAGAGACACCTGCAAACCCATTTGTGGTGCATATGTCCTTCTTTGAAAGCAAACATGGTAATTTGTGCATTTTAAAGTATATAATATATTTGGAGGCTTCAAAGGAAAGGGGGCAACTTGGAACACCAAGTAAATGACAAATGTATAGAATCATTTTAAAGGAAATGCATGAATAACCGATTTTTGAAAAATCAGTAAATAGCTCTTTCCCCTTCTAATTTTAAAAGTTGGGTTATTCATTTTCCCCAAGACTTTCATTAGCCTTAGCAAATGCGTGCTGTTCAAGCCTCAATTCTTGCCATAAGTGCTATTCAGAGAACATCTGCGTGTAGCAGCTCTTTCTCTGTTTCCAAGCAGAGCTGCGACACTTGCTGAAAGGGAGCTGCCACACTGTTGTGTCATCGATAGGCCCAATCAGGCTGCCTCTTTCAGATGTTGAAATAGCATGTTTTCTGTACAAAGCAGATGCTTCCATCATATGGGACTAAATTATCCTAAGAGGTTGAGGGAAGGGTCTTAGGATGAGCCAAAACAGGAAGCTCTGCAGTAGGCTTCAAATGCTGCTAAATTCTGGCGTTTGTTTATGTTGAAAAGGAAACAATGAGAGAATGGGACAGATGATCAGTGGCATAAAATCCCAACCAAAGCTGAGAAAAAGAAAATGAGCTCATAGTTAGGTTTTCTGTAAAATGGCCCTGTGTGGTTTAGTTAGCAGAGACTCTGGGCTGAAGCTGTGGTCCATGCTCTAAGGGGTCCCCAAAAATGGATCTTGGCAGGTAGATACTCCCTGAGTTTTTAACTTAAGTCAAAATGACTTCGCTACGAAAAGGGTCTACTTCAGTGAAGAAAATTGGGGTCTGGAAATGAAGCTTGGCATAAGCCAGTTGTGGTTAGGGAATCTGCTCTGGCCGCAGGGTTGGACTCTGGTAATGGTACTTCCTGTCCAGATTAGGGTGTCAGAATGGGCATCGTGGACTCAGTGGGCTGATGGATCCTGTCCTGTGGGGGAGTCTTCCAGCAGCTGGGTTTTTGACTCTGAGATTCTTCTAATCTTGGAAATGCTATCATTCTTGACCCTCTATCAGCCTTAAAGAAAGACCTCAGCAGGCAATTGTGGCTACAGAAGGCATACTCAGCTTCCATGGAGACAGGACAAGTGGCCAGGGAACCAGCAATGTGTACTGACGTGCAGAGGCTCAACAATGTGGTAAACAAGATCTAGCAAAACGAAAAGGCCAGAAGCACATTTGTAGAGCACTATAATGAAGTCCTAGGCTACCTCATTCAATTCCTAAAATCTTCTGAAAGGTAACTATTACTGTGCTAGATTATATAGAAAATATAGAAGCTTATAGTGGTGAAGTAACTTGCCCAAAGTCATGTGCCTAGTAAATGGTTAAGGCAGAAGGGAGTTTCAGGTGTGGATTATATAGCTTCCATCTTTAAGCTACATCAAACAACCAAGGTGGGGGTAGGGTTATCAGGTAAGCCTTCAGTATTGTAGGGCCCTCAAAACAGACAATCTGTATATCATGGACACAGCAGCACATCTTGGAATCCAAAAACCTTGTGAGCCTGGTTCAGATAGACTGCGAAACCTGAAGTTCAGCCTGTGAGATCCAACAGTGATGGAAGCGGAAAGGAGTCACTGGCTTGGTTTGGATGCACATGAGCCCATATACAGAAAGGCATTTTTACCCACCTGTAATACCAGGTGAAGTCCCTGATTAGCCTGGTCCTATGCCCTAGGCAGAGTCGAGAGCTCAGTGCTGCACTTTCTCCAGCGGGATCCAGAATGGGCCCTGCCTGATGACCCGGAATTTTATCCAGCCCCTTTCACTACAGCACTCAGAATTCAGCCAGGTTAGCTAATGTTCACTCACACTCCTCTCAGATTGTCCTTCAGTTATAAAAATCAGCATTTGTCAGATGAATTTATTAATGTCTTCCCCAAGTTCAGAAGCTAATTTCTAAATGAATTCCATGACTTTTGCCCTGCAGAACAGGGAGTGCTTACATGCCAGCTCTCTCAGAAGGTGATCAGGAAGTTTGGGGTGAGAAGACAATCCAGGTAGGATGATTCCTGCAAAATAGAGCTGCCGTGTTCCTGCATGTTGTGCCTCCAGCCTGTTTAATGCACAGCTATGTGTGAAGAAGGAAGTTAATAACTCTCATTTTGGTATGTTGGGACATCATCAACATGCCTGTAGGGTTCTAGGTATATAAGAGAACTCCAACATTTAATTAAACTGCCTGCAAACATTGATTCATCTGTTACCACCTGAATGGATTGGTCAGTGAATGTCTGGTGCTCCTTCGGAGAACTCTGGAAAATGGATAACTCAGGGGCAGAAATCTGGTGTTAAAGGGCCACAGGGAGAATGGGAATTAATTCTTCCAGAAATGCCTTAGGGAGGAGCCAACCTACAAATCTTTCATAAGTATGCAAACTTGGGCCAGGATAGTGATATAAGATCTAGTAGGAGGCAAGGGGAGTGTGAGAACTGTTGGATACTAAATGTGCCTTTGATTCTTAGAAACAGCTGTTTTATGCAGAGATTACTTGAATTTCTCTCCTAAATGTTTGAAAGAAAAACTACTGGTTAATTAGGATTATGCTGACTTTGAGTTAATTTTCTGAATAAGTGTTCATCCAAAAAATTTGTTGAGAACATGTAGTAGATGTTCAAAAATGGAAACAAAACCACTGGCTAGGGAAATAGCTATAGGAGATCTTGCTCTTTAGTTTTCATGCTTTTATAATTAGGATATTGACTACAGTAATCATCAATGTTCCAAACAGACTCAACTTAAGTATCCATCATTATATGAATTAGTTTATTAAACTCGGACATTGAAAAAGAAAGATCAAAATTTAGTTGAGAATGCCTGAATGCATCCTCTGAAATGAGGGTGGTATTTTTCAGTAGCATAACTTTGTGAATACTTATTTATGACAAACTCAGTGTCATGCACTTAATTTTCTCATCAGCTTTTGTTTTTGCACACTCATTTTTGGTATGACTCTTTAACCAGTGCAATCAGGGGAGTAGACCCCATCTTGGTTTATCCTGAACGAGTGGTTCTCAACTTGAGGAACTTTGACTCTCTACTGAAAGGACCATTTGGCAATGTCTGCAGACATTTTTGATTGTCACAACTGTGGAGAGAGGATGCTAGTGGACTCTAGTGAGTGGAGCAGAGACGCTGCTAAACATCCTCTAATGCACAGGACAATCCCCCACAACAAAGAATTATACAATCCAAAATGTTCATTGTGCCAACATTGAGAAACCCTATCCTGACCGAGGTCTCCACCTTTAGCAAATAAAAAGACAGGACACTTAGTTAAATTTGAATTTGAGATAAACAACAAATAATATGTATGTATTATGTAACATATAAATAATACATTAGTATATATATGTTCAATTGACTATAAAAATGTGGTGCTTAATATGTCCCAAGTTTTTATGAGGTATATTTTTTCTAAAAAAAAAATAGTTCATTTGAAATTCAAATTTATTTAGGCATCCTGCATTTTACCTGGCAACCCTAGATCTATCTCTTGTACAAGAATGTGACCTATTCCATGAATTCTAAGCTTTTCTGCAACAGAAGGAAATTTTATTTTGTATGCAGCTTATTGTGCCATTGCATAGGCTTTGTAATAAAGCATGTCTCAATGCAGATTCCATTTCTGACCTACTGTACAATCATGGAGAGGTTATTTAATTTCTTTAAGCCTTAGTTACTTCATATATGTTATGGGAATAATTATGACAACCTCATAGGTTTATTGCAAAAAGGAAATAAAATAATGTATGTAAAATGACTAGTATTCATAAAGGATAATTATGATTTTTATTATTGATTTATTATTTTCCTCAGTAATACCTTGAAGTTCTCTGTCAGCCCAGGTTTTATCAAGATTTTTTTTCTTTGTAATATATTCAGTGGATTTATAGCAGCTTGCTTTACTAGATAACCCAAGAATGGGTTGAGTTTTATCTTTTCTTGTAATGTTTGTTGAAGTAAAACACAATGATCAAGGGAGCGAATCTTGATTATACTCTTCATCATTTTTCTTTACATAGTGAACATACTCATGGGTATCATCCAGCTCAAAACGCAGAACGTTGTCAGCCCCCAGAGACTCTACCATGACCTTTTCTATTCATTACACCTCTAAAAATAATGAATATCTTTATGTCCATCACTATACATTAGGATTTTTTTTAATTTATGATGAATGGAATTATGTGTTAAGTACCCTTTTGTGTCTGGATTTTCTTTTCTTTTTTAAAAAATATGTTTTCTTCACATTATGTCTGTGAAATTTGTCATGCTGCATATAGCAGTAGTTTAATCTTTTTGTTTACTGTATGACATTCCGTCATGTAAATATGCAAGGCTTTATTCACCTATTCAACTGCTGATGAGCGTTTGGGCAGTTTCCATAGTTTTACTATTGGAAATGGTGCTTTTATTAATATTTTGTATGAGTTTTGATGCACATACAAATGCATTTACATTGGGCAGAACAGTTGTGATACAAGGCATGCACAATTTTAGGGTTAAGTAGATAGCTATACAATTTTGCATACAGAATGCGCTAATTTATGTTCCTACTAAGAGTATCAGAAAATTTCATTGTCCCACATTGTCTCTACAGTTGAGATTGCCACTTTTTATAAATGTTAATTCTTATGGTGGGTAGGTAATATTATCACATTGTGGTTTGAATAACATTTTTCTGACAATAATGTTGAGCACCATTTCAAATGCTTATTGGCCATAGTAATATAGCGTTTTTTATTATTATTATGCCAGCAAAGCAGGTTCGCCATGCAATGGTTATCATTTCATTCCAAAGCATCATGGGCTGCAATTTCTACTCCTTGCACAAGTTCAGGATACTTACAAACACAGGTTACATGCAGTAGATTTATTACCTATAGACAACTAGAAAGAGACAACAGAGGCCTAAGATTCATGACAGCCTGATCCCAGAGGCTCAGGAAAGCTGCCAGGACATAGTCTCGTTTGCGCATGCCGCACTTGCACTGTAGCTCAGGAACCTTGGAAACAGTTCTCCTGTTTGTCAAACATCGCCAGACATCCAATTCTAGGAGAGATTGGAACAGAACTTGGGCTGCTCTGGAGAGCCCCTCTTTATCTCAGAATGTTGCATTGTTAGCACATTCTATAGTTATTCTTGAGAACTATAGACAAGAAATGAGAGAGAACTGGGATAGTCTAAGGCCACATGGAGATCTGTCTTGCACTATGTTGACTTAGTTTAGAGGCCCCGGCTGGAGAGGAGTCAGGCCCTTTTCTTGTGGGGTCAATTAAGTCCGATCCTCAATTACCTCCTTGTTTGTCTCTCAGACCCTTGGCCGCTATTCAGTCGCCATATGTGCCTCGGAGCCAGGTACCAGACAACCAGGAACAAGCCCACTGAAATTATTTCAAGTCATCAAGCCTAAGCCTGTTTGCCCTGCCTAACCCTTTCATTCCTGCAGAAACCACAAAAAAAGGTTTTCGCCTACTGCTGCCCTTTATCCCTCTGGCTCAACTCTGACGCTGGTGCTCCCACGAGTGGCCCCCTGTGGCATGGCACGCTGTGTTCTCCCCAGGGAACTGTGAGTATAACAAAACTGTAAAACTCTTTCAAGCTTCTCTTTTGATCTTCCTCTGGCTTCACCATACCTCATCCACATTAATATGGTTAAATCAGCCATCTGATGTCTTGTCAAATGACAATGTTTTCCTCCCATATTTTTTTGGCAGGCCTTTGTTTTCCTTGTTGAATTGTAGAAATTTTGTTTTATAAAGGATATAAATCCTTTGTAAGATGCATGCATTTCCAATTTTTTTTTTCTACTTCGTGGCTTGCGTATTCACTGTCTTACAGTATCTTCTGATGAAGAGTAATTAATGATTTAGCAAATTCCAGTGTATCAATATTTTGCTTTATGATTGGTGCTTTTTGTGTGCAATTTAAGAAAACCTTGCCAACTACAAGACAATGTAGACATTTTCCTATGATACCATCCAGAACCTGTATTGTTTTAATTTTCACGTTTACTTAGTGGTACATCAGAGTTGTTTTTCTGTGTGTGTGTGTGTGTGTGTGTGTGTGTGTGTGTGTGTGACGTGAAAAGTATGGCATACGTGAATGGTGAAGTAGATGTGAAAGATTCATTTTGTTCTTCAGGAATATCTGGCTGACCCAGCACTGTTCCTGGAGTATGCCTCCTGGCATTACAATGTCACCTTTTCATAAATCAGATGATCACATAAATTCATTTGTTGAACTTAAATTTTTGATTTTTATTCTTTCTTTTCTTAAAATAATATATCCACTGAAGTCTATCAGCTTTTTAAAAGCAGGGCTTTAGAACCATTCTATAATTTTTGACATGCCAAATTCTAAATTTTCATTGAAATTAAAACAAATTCTTTTATTTTGATTTCTTTTTTGAACCATGGAATATTTAATACTTTATTGCTTAATTTCCAAAGATTTGAATTTCTTTAAGTTATTATTTTGTGAATCATTCTCATCTTAATCGTTTTAAACATTTCTAGTGTTATTTGGTTTGACAATATTTTAAGTTAATTTCCATATGATCAGATTAACATATCTTATTTTTTAAGACTTCTGTTATAGCTTAGAATTTAATCAATTTTAGTACACATTCACATGGAAAAAAATTGTCTTCTCTTGATCTGCGTTCAAGTTTTATATGTGTGTGGGCTGAGTGCGGTGGCTCACATTTGTAATCCCAACAATTTCTCCCAAATTGAGGCAGCAGGATTGCTTGAGCCTAGGAGTTTGAGACCAGCCTGGGGAACACGGCAAGACTGCATCTCTACAAAAATACCAAAATTAATCAGCCATGGTGGCACTCACCTGGGTCCCCACCAGCTACTGGGAAGGCTGAGGCAAGAGGATTGCTTGAGCCCAGGAGGTCAAGGCTGCAGTGAGCCATGTTCACACCACTGTATCCTAACCTGGGTGACAGAGTGAGACTCTCTCTAAAAAAAAATAATAATAATAAAATAAAAGGTTTCGTGTGTGCTAATTATATTAATTTATTAATTATATTGTTCTAATATTTTATATTCTTTCTGATTTACTTACTGTCACTTACTGTCATTTACCGAGAATGTTACTTAAACATGAAATTAGAAATTTGTCTACTCTTTTAAAGTTTTTTTCATCATTTTTTTTCCAAGTTTACCTTAGTTTTAGTAGTAAGTAGGAAAAGTTTTAAGTCTCAGAAATTATGTAATTGGAGACAAATGTATTTTCGGGGACCTTTTTTTCTATTTCTCTACAAAAGTTAATAATAGTATCCATTCCTGTCTTCCTATGGTACATAACGTTCATAACATTGTTAATTATAAACAAGTCTGTGGAGCCCTGATAAACTACCAACAGGTTTTCTAGGACTGCCCTTGACATAATTTTTGACACTTAACAAATATGACTAAGTTAGTAGGTATATAATTTTTGTCTCCCCTTAAATAGAACCAAAAAAGGAAGAAACATTTGAATGTTTAAGCAGATAAATACAATTACTACAATCTTTATTATATCAACCTGTTAGAACATATTTCAATTATAAATGCAACAGAGGGGTTTCAAAGTCAAAATGTTCAATTAAGGCACCTGGTTTCTATTAGATTAACATTTGTGTAATCTATTTTTGTCTTTTATTTTACTTTCAAGCTACTTATGTTATTGAATTTAAGGTGAATTTCTTATAAATAGCATATCATTGAATTCTGTTTGTTTACACACTCTGAAAATCTTGTTACCCATTGTAATGCCTCTGTGACCTAGCTGAATTTCTACCTGATCTTAACTCTGCTTAGCTTTAGGAGACAGGATGTCTGAGGTCAGAAGTTCCCCCTGGTGACCAAACCAGTTAAGACTGATGAGATTCAAGATCCAGCTCACTTCGCCTTTGAAGAACCTCCAACTTCATTATAATTTATTTTCCATACTAAATGACACTCCCACCAGTGCCATGACAGTTTATAATCACCATGACAATGACCAGAAGAAATTATGAAAGGACAAAAAGGAAGACCACAACTCCGGTTCTGAGGAATTCTCCACCCATTCCCAGAAAAGACAAGAATACTCCTCCCCTTGTTTTTAATGCCCAAACCCTTCATTAAAGATGTCCCATATCTGTGACTTCCTGTCTCTCATTAATTGAGAAGTTAATCTGTGAGTCAAGCTCCCACTTCTTAAGTCCATGGCCATTGAATAAAGCCTGCACTGCTTGATGCTCACTTTTGGTTTCATGCATTGTCTTCTCATCACTGCATAGAAAAAGAACCCATTTTAAAATCAGTAACACTTTGATTTCTAACGGATTAAATTTGCCATTTTATTGTTTTCTGTTTGTTTGATTTGCATTTTGTTCTTCTGTTTCAAGTGGGTTACTTGAACAGTTTTAAGAATTCTGTCTTTATTTACAGTGTTTCAGAGTTCAACTCTTTGTACAGTTTAATGTTGTTGTAGGTTTCACAGTATACCTAACATGTGACTTGTCATAGTCTATTGGTATCAATGGTGAGTCCTGTGAAAGTTTATTTCCACTTAGGTCTCTTTACCGTCCTCATTTTTCAATATCATTATCTGGAGTACAAGATAATGTAATAATTTTTATTTCACTAATAAAATATGGTTTATAGAATTCATAAAGAAAATAATATATTATTATGTATCTATATTCCATGTCCAGTTTTTTATTTCTTTCTGATCTCTAAGATCTTTTTCCTTTATTATTTCCTTTCTGTTTTAAGACCTTCCTTTAGCCAGGCTTTAAGAGTAGGTCTACTAGTGACATATCCTACATATCCTTTTAGTTTTCTTATGTCCAAGATGGTCTCTATTTCATCTTCTTACCTTAAGGATAATTTCACCAGTTATAGAATCTGTGGTTCAGTTTTTTTTCCTTAAATATCATTTGAAAGTTTTGTGTCATTTTCTTTTGGTTTCCAAGGTTTTGGATGAAAAACTCACTGCCATTTGAATTGGGGTTCTCTTGTAGATAACATAGTTTCTCCAGCTACATTCAAGCCTTTTCTTTGTCATTAATTTTCAGAAGATTAATTATGATGTTTCTTGATACAGATTTCTTTGGATTTATTCTATTTGGGATTCATTTAGATATTTAAATTTGTAAAGTTTATATATTTTGCTAACTTTAAGAAGTTTTTATCCATTATTTCTTTAAGTAGAAATGTTGAATATTTTACTTTTCTGTATCCCTAAGGCTCTGATCAATTTTTTGGGGGGGCGCGGGGCGGGGGGTTCTGTTTGCTATCTGTTATTCAGACTGGGTAAATTTTAGTGATTAGTCCTCAGGTCCATGGATTCTATTCTCTGTCATCTCTGTTCTACTAGGAAGCCCATCTGGCAAGTTTTTTTAATTTTTATTATATTATTCATACCTGGGTAAATTTGATTTGGTCTTCTTTGAGTAACTTCTATTTTTCTGCTGAGATTTGCTAGTATTTGTTTCAAGAGAGTTTATAATTGCTTATTAATTCAATTTTATGATAGCTGCTTTAAAGTCCTCATCAGATATTTCCAACATCTGTATCATTTCAGTGTTGGCTTCAGTTGATTGTGTTTCTCAGGTTGTGATTTTCTTGGTTCTTGGTAAGATAGGTGATTTTCAATTGTATTCTGTGCATGCCTGTTATATCTATTATGAGATTCTGGATCCTGTTTAAATTTCCTGTTTCAGCAGGTATGCTTTCTGTTTAGATTTAGCATGCAAATAAATCTTAGATGAGCCTTTGTAGTAGTATTTTGTTCTACTTGGTTTATATGGTGTGTCTGGGGCTCCTGTTGGACCTTGCTGGCATCCCGAGGGGGCAGAAAGTTCTTTCTCAGGACGGGGCATATGGTCTCTCCAGGTGGCGGAAGTGATTCTCCACCATGGAGGGACAACAAGTCTTCCCAAGCCAGGTGGCTTGTTGAGGCAGGATCCCATTTGCCTGTACTTTCTGACCACCCAGTGTCCCTCAAGTGACAGAAGAGATTTTCATGCCTTGTGGGGATAGAAATTGCTTACCAGAGTGCTTGTTATGGAGGGATCCCCTTGCCCTTTCCAATACTGTCTGGCTGCCTGCTGTCTCCTGAGGGCAAGGGGAGTTTCAGACCTGTGAGACCAAAGTTGTCTCCAAGATTGGACACCCCACCATGTCTTGTTCTTTCAGTCCTCAGTCCCTAACAAACTCACCTTTGTCCTCCCATCTTTCAGAATACGCCTTTTGTTGCATCTTGCACTATTTCCAGGATTTATAGTTAGACCTAGAGGGGAGAAGCAGGGAAAGCCAAGTCTATACCATGTTGTCCAGACCACATGCCTCCTTCAACTCCCGCTAAATTCGAAGAAGTAACACATTTAGAAATGTTATATTTCTTGTTGAATTGATCTATTTATCATTTTAAAATATGTTTCAATCTTTACTAATGATTCTTGCCTTATACTTTTTATATTCTTGGAGCACTAGCATTCACTGGTTAGTGTTTGCCTCGTATATGTTTTTCCAGTGTACTTTAAAACTTCCTATCTCTTTATAATGAATTTGTTTCTCTTGTAGGCAGCTTGAAGTTTGGTTGTATATTTCACCAAATTGACATTATTTGTCTTTTGATTAGAGTTTTTAGTCTATTTATATTATTTGACTTAATATAAATCTAAGTACAGTTAAGTCTAAATCACCAATCTTGCCATGCTTTCTATTTGTCATCTTTTATTTGATCAATCCTTTTCTTGCATGTTTGTATGAAGTAAATATATTTTATTCCTTCATATTTTTTCAATCTGTTAGCCTGTTAATCATTATTATTAATTCTTATTTTTATTAGTACTTACCTTCACAATTACTATTTGCATCCCTGATATAGTTGAGTGCTATTGTGCAACCTGGCAGCCACTGGCTACATGTGATTTTGGAGCACTTGAAATGTGCTAGATTGAATTGTGCTGCAGATGTAAAATACACACTGGATTTCAAGTATTTAACACTGACAAAATAATACATAATATCCAGTATTAATTTTTGTATCTATTAAAATAACATTCGAGATAGAGAATTAAATAAAATATGTTATTAAAATTAATTTCATTCTCTAAATTTTTCATTCTCTAAAAAATTTTTAGTGTAGCTATTAAAATTTCTGACTTCACATGTATGATTTACATCGTATTTCTATTGGAAAGTGTTCCATTGTATTCTACCTTAAATCAGTGTCTTTACTGCTCTGTGAATCATAAAAAGACTTTAAAACATTTTAACTGCATTGAGACTCCTTTTCTCTCATATTGCTTCAGTAAAATATTTTAATTTTACATATTTTAAATCCACCAGATAATATTAATACTGTTTTAAACAGCCAAGCGTTATGTACATTTACTCACATATTCACCCTTTTTACTACTACTGCTTATTCTATTTTACTGGGAAAATAATTTCCTGGGAAAATAATCATGGATCATTTTTCTGCAAGAGCTTCCTTTAGTAATTTCTTTAGTGTCATTTTTATCATAATGAATTTTTTAGTGATTGCCTGAAAACATCTCTTTTTTTCCCCTTCACTTTTGGAGGAGATTTTCACTGGATGAAAATTTCTACATGGTCAGCTATCCTTTCCTCATTAAAAATAAATGTCATTATATTGCCTCATTTTTTCCATCACATCTTTTGAAATGTTAGCTTGTCAGTTTTACTGTTGCCTTTTTGAAGGTGTACACATTGTTCAATGATTACTTCGACAATTTTATCTTTGTCTCTATTTTTTAGTAGTTTGCATATGGTATGTGATGGTGTCAGAAATTTTTTCATTTGTCTTGTGTGAGGTTTGCAGAACAATCTGTTTATTATTTTTTATCATTTTTAGAAAATCCTTTGCTAAACATCTCTTCAAATATTGCTCCTTCCCCATTCTCTTTACTCTCTGATTTCAGATGCTAATTACACATATATTAGACCTTTTCTCTGTGCTTCATATGTGTCTACTCTTTTTGTTATTTTCCTCTTTGTCTTTCTTTGGTTCAATATGGATGTTTTATGCTTAATCATCTTCAGTTCATGAATCTTCTTTCCTGCTGCATCTAATGTGTATTCACCTATCTATATTGAAACTTTTTGTCATTAATCCTTACTATCACTTATATTGCTTTTAATATCTAGAATTTCTGTTTTATTATTTTATATATTTTAATTCTCTGGTGAAATTTTCATTTTTTCATCCCTTTAATTGAATATATAATAATAATTTAAGTATTCATAGACTCCGATATATAGATCACCTATTGGTCTGCTTCTGATGTCTTATAGTCTCTCGGGTTTTAGTTATTTGTTCTTACTTCTTGGCATACTTGGTAAATCTCAATATAGTACAGGATGATTTGTAGAAATTCTGAATTAAATTTCTTTGCTCTATAGAAAAGAATTTAATTTATACTTTTAGTCATATAGAGTATAATCAGATATTTACTTTCAGTTCACCTTTACTGCTATAGTATATCCTTTCCAGAGTCCCATGAAAAAGCCTGAGTTATGTCTCAGGGCCTCTCCTCTTTGGCAAGCCCAGAACTGTATTTTTTATCTTCCCAGAATCACCAAAGTTCTGAAATATCTGCTTAGCTTTTTACTCTGTTGAAGCCACTTGATGCTTAATTTTGCAGATTCTTGCCCTGTTGTGTGTGCAATTTAGGAATCAGTATTGAGGGGAATTGCGTGCAAAGTGTTGACAGCTCGTCTCCATGAAATTTCCATTTCATTTTGATCCCAAGCCCTTAAGTCCTGGATGCTGTGGTAACATTCAACATCAGTTTAAGTGTGTGTGGGCCAGAGAGACTGCCAGATGCTGTCATTCACGTTTTTTTGTTCAGATTCTCTCCTGATCTGAAAGTCTACAAGTGTCCTCAGAGAAAAAACCTGGTGTTAGTCTAATATTTATCTCATGTCTTTCTCTTTTTTCTGGGACTTTGGTCCTTTGATGTATATCTGTGTTAGTTTTTTTCTGATGCTTTTAAACAACTATTCCTGCAATTGTTTCAGCTTTCTTGTTATTATAGATGGGCAGGTTAGTCAAACAGCAATGACTTTGTTACTGCTGGTAGCAGAATTCAGCCCTGAATTCTCATCACTGAAGTTTGGTTCTGGGATAGTGGAGAAACTTAATATGCTCTATATAGTTGGTTTGGAATCTCCCTAGAATTTTTGAGAAATTAGCACCTTTTATTCTCTGTTTTAGGGCCTCAGATGAAGTTTTAATACTATATAAAATATCTTATTCGAAATGTTCTAAGCACTGTGAAGAGCACAGATGCACTTGGTAAAAGAGATGAGCCAAAATGGAACCTTAGGGAGCTTAACTCGCATCTAAGAAAGTTAATAATAATTATATGAGAGTAGTAATAATTATTATGGCTGGTTTTTATTGAATACTTACAATATTATAGTAATATTCCAAGCTTTATCCTAGGTACATTTTATATGCTTATGCACTGAACTCACAACAACGCTTTATGTTACTCACTGTTATTTGTCCTCTCTTATAGGTGACCAAGGCCAGGGTGGTTAAGTAGGTTACCCAAGGTCTCACAGAGAGTAAGTGGCAAAGCCAGTGGAAGATATCAGAGCAGAGATTGTTGTTGTGAAATTGAAAATGCAATGTATTTTAAATTTCACAACAGATCTCCATCTACTAAAGTTAAGGCAGTCATTGCTTCACAACAAGGATACAATCTATAAGAAAAAAGCCAGATAGTTTTGGCAGAAGTCAGTTACATGAACCAAATGTCAGACAGATTTGGTAAAAGTCAGACTCTTGCCCTGTCTACTGGAGCATCATCTGGAGAAGGTGCATGTTCTCAGAAGTCTCATTTTCAGAAGAGTCATGATTTTTCATAAGGGTGTGGGAGTAGGAGGGATGGCTGAAGAAGGTGTCTAGATATGTATATCTGAAGAAGAAAGTTCTTAGGACCTAATAGACTTCACTATAAATACTATACTATACTATACTATACTATACTATACTATACTATACTGTACTATAAAGCAAGACAAGATGCTGACTTTTCCCAAAAGGACATTCCAAGGGCTTAGTGGTACTTCCAGAAGCTGAGCCAGGCCCAAGCTGCCCTTTGAGCAATGTTAATCCATCACTGTGTGGTTCGCTATTGTCATTCTTCTGGAACTGTGCACCAGTTGCTATGGCTCTGTTTATGCCTCTAGTCTTCCTCTCCTTTAGTGGGAGAGACTGCAAAGTTACATGTCAAAGGGTACAAAATACATAGAGGAGCGAAGACTTTAGAAAATAATATATTCTATCACAGTGAGCACCCCGGAGCTTAGCTTTGGAGATCATGGAAAAGGATGAGGGGTAAAAGATACTCAAAGACTATCTGTGCCAAAAGGACCACTTTGAGATAAAATGTGGCTGTGATAATAATGTTTGAATTTAACAGGAAATTCAAAGAATTGAACTAGAAATATAAAGATACCTTATGTAATATATATATATTTGAATATGGGGGCACTTGTAGGATGGATGAGTGGTTACCAATTTCTGCATTACAGAGTATCAAACAGAATGGAGAGGAGGAGACAGACAAAAAAAAGATGACCTCAGGGTTGTAGATGTAGGGGGTTTGAACAAGGCGCAGCTGAAGATGATGCTATTTTTCAGTTGAGTGCTGGGATTCTAGGAATGAGATTAACAAAATCAAGAGAAGAAAGAATAATTTTGGAGAGAATTATCAGCTCACTAGGGCTCTATCACAATTGTGTTTCTACTAATTTCCCATATGTTTCCAATCTCTTTTTGGAAATGACATTTTTTCTAGGCTGTTCCATGCTCCAAACATATTTGACCGAACCTGTCCTCCTGGCTTTGTCCTAACCATGCACCAAACCTCAACTTAAACATCACTTTCTCTGGGATATGTGTGTTGACTCCATATATAGGATGGAATATCTTGGTTTCACCCAGCCCTCCTCTTTCATGACATTTTTCCTTTTTTTTTTTTGGTAACAATTTTTTTTTAAAATAGCTGTTTTCGCCACTTAAATGTAATATGAATAATATTTTATCCACTTGTCTTTTGATTGTAAAATGAGCCTATATGTAATTCCTGACTTTTGAGTGTTCAAAAGTTCACAAGAAAACAGCATTGTGTAAAGAAAAGTAGATAAACCTCAAACTTAAGACAGAATCCATTCTGCTGCCCCCATGCTAGCCATTGCTGGCCAACAACAGCCTTTTCCATTGGAGCAAAGACTGTTAATTTTTTAAATGTTCTCTATATAAAAATTGATAATTGACTGAACTATCAGTGTGCCATAATTAAAAAGAAAAAGCAATGAAGAAATCTATATAGTAAGTATATAGTAAGTATATACTTACTATATAGTAAGTATATAGTAAGTATATAGTAAGTATATACTTACTATATAGTAAGTATATAGTAATATATTAGGGTTCTCCAGATAAATGGAAACAATAGGATATGTAAATATATATATATCATAAAAATGATACAGACATTTGAGAGAGGACTTGTTAGGAGAGATGACTCACATGATTATGGAGGCTGAGAAGTTTCACAATAGGTCATCTGCAAACTGGAGAATGAGGAAAGCCAGTAGCACACTGAGTCCATGTCTGAAGGCCTGAGAAGAAGCCGGGAAGCTGGGGAGCCTCTGGTACAAGTCCCAGGGTCCAAAGGCTGTTGAACCTGGAGTTCTGATGCCCAAGGATAGAAGCTGGGTGTCCCAGTTTCAGGAGAGAGGGAGAGAATTCACCTTCTTTGTGCCTTTCTGTTCCATCTGGGCTTGCAGCCAATTGGATGATGCCTGCCCACATTGGATAAAGGCAGGTCTTTCTCAGTCACTCTGTTTGTTTAAATGACAATCTATTCTGGAAACAGTCACAGACACACCCAGAAGTAATGCTTTCTAAGCTATCTGGATATCCCTTAATTCAGTTAAGTCGATACCTAAAATAAACCATCACAGGGAGTAATCTTTGAAATCAATTATTTGCCTAATTTTGAAAAAAAAAGAGATACACTCAAAGAATCAACCATAATCTAATACAAATGGTTATCTCATAGGCAAGGAGAATTGGATAAAAAAATACAGGGATGAAAGCAACATTTTACTGAATATACTTTTTTATATAGTTTGGACTTCTGTAAATATTTTCCATGTTCAAAAAGCAAAATTTAGTTAAAAAGCACACCTCGAAATTGAAAACAGAAACAAATGAACCTACATATTAATATGGTGAAATGAATATATAATATTTTAAGTAGTAAGTTTAAATATAGTGACCTGACCATATACACTTTTTCAGTGTTTATATCCTATAGAAAAATTAAAAAACTACAAAAAAGTTTTAAAATTTACTTATATTATTGTAAGTAGTAATATTGACATGATAATTTTTAAAACTTTGAAGTTAAGTTCATGTTTTAGAGAATAATTTTAGATCATAAATGTAGAAGAAAAAATCAGAAATACCATCATTTTTTAATATTCATAAAATATTAAATTAAGTCAGAAAGTACCCATGGTTACTAATTCATAAAAGTTTCTGGTGAATAGAATTCTTTTAGTGTAAAAAGCAAATAAAATGTGTGCAAATAGCTTGATCATTGCAAAAAAGAAAAAAATATATTTTAATTGAGAGATTAATGTTACTACTAGTGCTATATCTGAATAATAGTTGCTTCTGCATATGATACAGTAGGAAGGATAACTTCACTTGGAAATTACTCTTGCAACAAATGTTTTAACTAAATTGAATCAAATTTTTAGACCTAAATTTCATTCAGGAAATACATGGGCTAGAGCAGTATTGCTCAACCTTGGTTGCCTATAGAGATCACCCTTCAGCTTTAAAAACTACTGATGCCTGGATTCTATCCTGAGGATTCTGTAGAATTGGACAAATTTGAATGTGGACTGAGTATTTAGAGAATTATTCTTTAATGAGCTGTGATCATGATATCATGATTCTATTTAAATGAGAAATCTGTTCCGAACACCAAAAACATTGAGGTTAGTGGCAGCTTTTTAGTCCATATTTTATATCAATTTGAGATAATATTTTTGAACATTGTTTCAAAACACTAGGTTTAATTAAGAAATAATTAAAGACTTTTCTGATTCCTTTAAAGTCATCAGTTTCTTTTTTCATAATAATGACCACTATCTGTGGGTATGTAATTCATTTTACTTATATATGTAGTGGCTTCCACTTGCCTCTAACCACAAAATAGTAAATGAAAACCAATATCACATTCCTGGAGGGATTGCAGAGATTAGTGTCACTGTCTAGGTCTTGAAAGATGCAGAGACAGTGATTTCTACCACATCCCAATTCAACTTGCAGGTGAATCTTGGGAAATGATTGAAGAAAATAGCAGTTGCTATTCCAGATGTGGTTTTGCTGTGTTAGAAAAGTAATGCAGCCTCTGGTATCTGACACACTGTTCTGTATCCTGTGATTTTTTTTTCTCTATATATCTGCTGAGAAACATCACCAGAAGAAATTTTCTTTTCAGCTAGCCATGTCTTCATGGGCCTATCTGAGGAGTAGATCAACTCTTCTGCCTTATTCATAATTTAGTTGCCTTTTCTTCGATAAGACATAATGTTGGTCCATTACATTGATAACATTATGATGATAAGACATGCTGGATTAGTTTAAGTTACAAAAGAAGAAATGCTTCCATTAGGGGACACAACAACGATTCCATTAAACTAGCAGTTAAGACCGACACCTGGCCGCTTAGGTTTCTCCTGCTTGTGAATCAACAGACAAAGGAGGAGGTACTGGGCTGACTAGGGTGATTGACACTAGGTATCAAGGAGAAATTAGGTTTCTGCTACACTGCTGAGGTGAGAAAGAATATGTCCAAAATAAAGGTGATCCCCTAGGTCACTTCTTAGTATTCCTATGTGCTATAATTAACATGAGTGAAAAAAATGGAGCATCTTTCAGACAAAACATCTAATAGCCCAGATCCTTCAAATGTGAAAAATTGGGTGACCGCATCAGACAAGAAATGATGACCAGCCAAGGTGTTTGCTTTGGGAAAAGGAAATATGAATGGTGAGCTGAAGAATATAGTTATACATATTAGCTATGACCTCGTGACTGGATGCCGAAATGAGAACTGTAACAGTTGTAAGTATATCCTCTTGATCTCAATAGAAAAACGTTTATAATAACATAAAAATAAGCTAGTATATTAAATCCTAAATCTTGAGAAAGTGTACCTGTAATGACAAATTGAGCCAGATCAAGCACTTATGTCATCCTCCATCCAGTTACCCCAGGGTTATTCCCACACATGGCCCACAGGCTCTTGTCAATCTTTTCTTATGGGACTTTGTATTTTTCTCCTGAAAGAATGTTGTTGTCTAATTCTCATTATAAGTTGGAAGCTATACGAAATGGAAGGGTTAACTGTGGCATGTGTATGAGGCTTTTCTTGCATTGCTATAAGAAATACCTGGGACTGGTAAATTTGTTTTAAAAAGAGGTTTAATTGGTTTACAGTTCTGCAGTCTTTACAGGAAACATGAGACTGGCATCTGCTCAGCTTCTAAGGAGAGGCCTCTGGAAGCTTACAGTCATTAGCTGGTACCTCACATGGCAAAAACAGGAACAAGTCAGCAGGTGGGTGGGGGGGGTGCCACACACTTTTAAAAGACCAGATCTCTCGTGAGGACTCATTATTATGAAGACAGCACTAAGCCATGAAGGATCCACCCCCATGATCCAAACACTTTCCACCAGGCCTCACTTGGAATTACAATTCAACATGAGATTTGGACAGGGTTTAATATCCAAACTGTAACATTCCACCCCTGCCCCCTCCCAAATCCCACGTCCTTCTCACATTGCAAAATATAGTCATGCCTTCCCCACTGACCCTCATAGTCTTAACTCATTAATGGAAAGCGTTAACTGAAAAGTCCAAAGTCTCATCTGAGACAAAGCAAATCCCTTTCACCTATGAGCCTGTAAAATAAAAAACAAGTTAGTTACTTCCAAGGTACAATGCGCATATAGGAATTGGGTAAACATTTTTATTTCAAAAAGGAGACATAAGCCAAAAGAAAGGTGCTACAGGCCCCATGCAAGTTCAAAACCCAGCAGGGCAGTTACTAAATCTTAAAGTTTCAAAATAATCTACTTTTTTCATATCCCATATCCAGGGCACACTGGAGCAAGGTGGGGGTGGGGGGGCTCCCAAGGCCTTGGGTAGCCCCGCTTCTGTGGCTTTGCAAGGTGCAGCCCCCATGGTTGCTTTTACAGGTTGTTGGGTGCCTTGTGACTTTTCCAGGCACGGGGTGCAAGCTGCCAGGGCTCTACCACTCTGAAATCTGGAGAATGGTGACCCCTTTCTTATAGCTCCACTATGCAGTGCCCCTCAAGGATTCTATGTGGGGGCTCTGACTCCACAATTTCCCTCTGCACTGTCCTAATAGAGGTTCTCTGTGGGGGCTCACCTCATAGCAGGCTTCTGCCTGGGCACCCATAGTTTTCCATACATCCTCTGAAATCTAGGTGGAGGGTGTCAAGCCTCATTCATTCTTGCACTCTTTGCACCCTTAGGCTTAACACCACATGGAAACCACTAAGGCTCATAGTTTTTGCCCTCTGGAGTGGCAGCCCAAGCTGTAGCTGTACCTGGGCACCTTTGAGCCAAGACTGGAGCTGACACAGCGAGGAAGTGGGGAGTATTATTTCAAGGCTTTGCAGGGCAGTGGTGCCCTGGGCCTGTCCCACTAAACTATCATTTTCTCCTAGGCCTATGGGCCTGTCATGAGAGGGCTGCCTAGAAGGTCTATGAAATGCCTTCCAGGCCTTTTCCTCATTGTCTTGGATATTAGCATTTGACTCCATTTTAGTTATGGAAATATCTCCAGCAAGAGGTTGCTCCACAGCTTGCTTGAATTCCTCTCCCAAAAGAGCTTTTTCTTTCTCTGCCCCATGACCAGGCTGCAAATTTACCAAACTTTTACACTCTGCTTCTTTTCTAAAATAAATTGCAGCTTTAGGTCACTTATTTGCTCCTGCATCTGAGGGTAGGTTGTTGGAAGCGTCCAGACCACATCTTGAATGCTTTGCTGCTTAGAAATTTCTTTCAGCCCCTAGGTTATCACTCTTCAGTTCAAACTTCCACAGATTCCTAGGGCATGAACACAATGTAGCCAAGCTCTTTGCTAAGGCTTAACACATGTGACCTTTGCTCCAGGTCCCTATGAGTTTCTCATTTCCATCTGAGACCTTGGCAGCCTGGATTTTACTGTCCATATCACTATCAGCATTTTGCTCACAGCCATTTAAATAGTCTCTGAGTAGTCCCAAAATTTTTCTTACCTTGCTGTCTTCTGCTGAGTCCTCCAGACTCTTCCTATCTCTGCCTGTTAACCAGTTTCAAAGCTACTTTCACATTTTCAGGTATCTTTATAACAATATCCTAGTCCTATTATGATTTTTTTTTTGTATTGGGTAATTCTTGCATTGCTATAAAGGAATACCTGAGACTAGGTAATTCATAAAGTAAAGAAGTGTAATTGGCTCACAGTTCTGCAGTATTTACAGGAAAGCATGGTGCTGGCATCTGCTCAGCTTCTAAGAATGCTTCACGAAGCTTACAGCAATGTTGGAAGGCAAAGGGGAAACCAGCACATCACATGGCAAAAGCAGGAGCAAGTGAAAGAGAGGGAGAGGGAGAAGGTGCTGGGTGGGGGAAGGTGCCACACAACTTTAAATGACAAGATCTTGTGAAAACTAACTGTCATGAAGACAGCTCCATGCCATGAGGAATCTGCCCCCATGATCCAAACATCTCTCAGGGGGCCTCATCTCCAGCATTGGGGATTACAGAGCAATAAGATTTGGGTGGGGACAAATATTTAAACTATATCAGCCTATAAACTAAAAATAAAATCCTAAGCCCCCAACCAACTGAACAGATTTCCTCTTGGCCATAGGAATCCCAGAAAAACCTTAAAAACTGAATTCCTGGCTGTATTAGTCTATTTTCACACTGCTGATAAAGACATACCTGAGACTGGTTAATTTATAAAGAAAAGAGGTTTAATTGACTCACAGTTCCACATGGCTGGGGTGCCCTCACAGTCATGGCAGAAGACAAAGAAAGAGCAAAGGCACATCTTACTTAGCAGCCAGCAAAGAGAAAATGAGAGCCAAGTGAGAACAAGAGCCAAGTGAAAATGAGAGCCAAGCCACTCTTATAAAACTATCAGATCTCGTGAGACTTATTCATTATCACAAGAACAGTATGGGGGAAACTGCCCTTATGATTCAGTTATTTCCCACTGGGTTATTCCTATACCATGTGGGAACTGTGGGAGCTATAATTCAAGATGAGATTTGGGTGGGGACACAGCCAAACCATATCATTCCACTCCTGGCCCCTCCAAAATCTCATGTGCTCACATTTCAAAACCAATCATGCCTTCCCAACAGTCCCCCAAATTCTTAACTCATTTCAGCATTAACTCAGAAGTCCATAGTTCAAAGTGTCATCTGAGATAAGGCAAGTCTCTTCCGCCTATGAGCCTGTGAAATAAAAATCAAGTTAGTTACTTCCTAGATACATGGGGGTACAAGCGTTGGGTAAATACAGCCGTTCCAAGTGGGAGAAATTAACCAAAAGAAAGGGGCTAAAGGCCCCACTCAAGTCCAAAATCTAGTAGGGCAGTCAAATCTTAAAGCTCCA